>NC_000017.11:10036565-10188080 GCF_000001405.40 Homo sapiens
GCTGAGGCAAGTCGCTAGCCCAGGGCCAGTGTTCTGGGCACCCCAGCGGAGGTTCCTGTGGCTTTGCTCATTGCTGTTCTTTCACAAAGAACCCACTACATTGCATAGTTCCTTCCAAATCCGCTCCAGTGCTTGCTGGGAAATTAACAACTTGTTCTGGACTTTCCAGATGCAATGTTTCTGGAGGCCTTTCTTTTTTTCCCACTCTCCCTCTTTTTCCCCTTTCTCAGCTAAAAAACGTTGGCTGAGGTCACAACAAACAATGGCCAAGCTTGTGTCACTGAGCAGATGCCTCCCACCCCCAGGCCTGTGGACAAGGGCAGCTTTGTCCACTGTGTTTTAGGCGGGACTTCCTGGGCCTGCCCAAGCCCTGCTGGAGAATGTTTTGGCCAACTTCCTCCCAACCCTAAGTCACAGCTCTGGTCCTGGCCCCGGCCCCGGCCCCAGCTGTGTGAACCCAAGGCCAGATAAAAACCAACATAAAAAGAACGGAGAATGTTCCCCCAAAGAACCACTGTGTGGAAAGCTGGTGCCTCCAGAGGGGCGAGATGAAGGTCTCTTGCCTTCACTCTGCCCTCGCCACCATCAAACCTGGACAGATAACGAACAAAGACAGGCTCATGTGAGGTCTCCACTGAAAGGGGCCTGAGGATCACAAAGTCATTAGTTACAAGTGGAGAAAGGATTGGACCCCAAGAGCAATACTGCAGCCACCAACTAAATGAGCTTGGGCAGGGCTTGGATCCTTCATGAATATATCCTATCACTCCGTTTAGAAAGGTTTTTGGAGCAGCTGACTATTTAGCACTCAAAATGCCGCATATTTCTGTGTTTGCTTTCAGATGCAAACCTTTGGGGTTTTAGGAACTGATTCTTTATATAGAATTAAATATGGTTTTCTAGAGAAACCAAGATCCTGAGGACCGAGTGGTTCCCTATTAAGCAAATGGATAAACTTATTTATGAAGAGGTTTCAATGCCAGCTCCTTGGGTCGGGGGAAGAAAATAAGTACAATCGTCTAAGGATGGAGTCAGACCAGAGCTAAGCTGTTGTTTTACTACATACTAGCTCCAAGACCCTGGGCAACGGCTCCAGCTTCAATTTCTCCAAGTGTAAAATGCAGATGATCACAGTATCTTTCTCAAAAGATTGCTGTGAGAGATTAAAGGGGGTGGGGGTGGGGCATCCATGTAAACATTTCACCTAGTGGACGAAGTAAATGCTCAATGAAAGCTAGGATTTTTGTTGTTACTATCACCAGTGGCTGAAAGGTAGGCACTGCAGTTACCCCGGGTCCAAAAAGAGTCCAGACTGAACAATAAAAAGCAAACAGCCCAATTTAAAAAAATGAGCAAAAGATATTCCTCCAAAGAAGATATAAAAATGACCAATAAGCACATTTAAAGATGCTCAATATCACTAATCATGAGGGAAATGCAAATCAAAACTACAGTGAGATATTAGCTCACACCCATTAGGACAGGTTCTTAAAAAAAAAAAACCAGACAAGGCCAGGCACAATGGCTCATGCCTGTAATCCCAGCACTGTGGGAGGCCAAGACGGGTGGATCACTTGAGGCCAGGAGTTCAAGACCAACCCGGCCAACGTGGTGATACCCCGTCTCTACTAAAAATACAAAAATTAGCCAGTCGTGGTGGTGTATACCTGTAGTCCCAGCTACTTGGGAGGCTGAGGCAGGAGAATCCAGGAGGCGGAGGGTGCAGTGAGCTAGGATCACACCACTCTCACTCCAGCCTGGGCAACGGAGCAAGGCTCTGTCTCAAAACAAACAAATAAACAAATATCAACAAAACAGAAAAGAACAGGTACTAGTAAGGATTGAGAACTGTTGGAACCCTTGTGCCCTTCTGGTGGGAATGTAAAATAGTACAGCCCCTGTGGAAAATAGTGTGTTAATTCTTCAAAAAAATTAAACAAAGAATTGCCATATGGTCCAGCAATTCCATTAATAGGTATATACCAAAAAGAACTGAAAGCAGAGTCCTGAAGGGAGGGTCTTGCTGCCTGTTCATGGCAACATTATTCACAAGAGCCAGAAGGTGGAAACAATGCAAGTCGTAGTAAAATAAACACAATAGAATATTACTCAGCCTTAAGAAGGAAGGAATTTTTTTTTTTTTTTTTTTTTTGAGACGAAGTCTTGCTCTGTCACCCAAGCTGGAGTGCAGTGGCGCAATCTCGGCTCACTGCAAGCTCCGCCTCCTGGGTTCAAGCGATTCTCCTGCTTCAGCCTCCCAAGTAGCTGGGACTACAGGTGCGCACCACCATGCCTGGCTAATTGGAAGGAAATTTTGACATATGCAACCATGTGGATGGACCTTAAGGACATTATGCTCAGTGCAACAGCCAGACACAAAGGGACAAATACCATTTGCTTCACTTCTATGAGGCACCTAGAGAAGTCAAATTAATAGCGACAGGTTGCAGAATGGAGGTGACCAGGTGCTGTGGGCAGGGAATGATGGGAAGTTTGTGTTTAATGGGTCCAGAGTGTCACTGGTGCAAGATGGAAGCATTCTGGAGATTAATGGTGGTGATGATGGCTGCACAAACACGTGGGTATACTCAAAGCCACTGAACTATACATTTAAAACTGATGGAGATGGTGGATTTCATGTCATGCATATTTTGCCATGATTAAAAAAAAAAAGCCCCCAAGACCCACAGAGATAGTTTAGATCAAAAGACCCTGTGACCCATAAGCCGCTTCATGAGATACACCACCTCAGGCTCTCCATGTACACCCAGAGGGAAGCTGCCCCAGCCTCTTGGCAATGGTGAAGAGAAAGCCCACCTAGAAGATGAGGGTGGGACCAGGGACGGTGGCTCACGTCTGTAATCCCAACACTTTGGAAGGCTGAGGTAGGTGGATCATTTGAGGTCAGGAGTTCGAGACCAGCCTGGCCAACATGGCGAAAACCCATCTCTACTAAAAATACAAAAAATTGGCTAGGCATGGTGGCGGGCGCCTGTAATCCCAGCTACTCAGGAGGCTGAGGCAGGAGAATTACTTGAACCCGGGAGGCAGAGGTTGTAGTGAGCCAAGATCATGCCACTGCACTCCAACCTGGACGTCAGAGTGAGACCCTGTCTCAAAAATAAATAAATAAATAAAGACGACGAGGCTGGCCACCTATAGCAGGACTCACTCACCATGGCTCGTCTTGCGTTCAATCTTGGGGAGACCGAGGTGACACAGCCAGCATCCTAATGTCAATCGAGGGATTTTCCGTTTAGGGGTGTGGCACCCTCTGGGGCTCCCAGAGGGGGTGACAATGTGCCTTTCCCTTGGACATATCAATTCCTTCTGTGTCCGCATCCCACCTTCCTGGTCTTTTCTCTTACATGCCTGACAGCAGGGCCCATCTCTTCCTTCCTAAAGTTACTGACGTGGCTGCTGGGGGGACTCTTCCTCCCTCTCTAATTGCTGGGTTTCAATCTGCTGCAGGAGTGGCTGTGAGGATCTTGTACTGAGCACTCACTTTGGACCAGGCGCTGTTCTATGCTTCACATGTTTCATGTCACTTAATCCCTCTAACAAACCAAAAAGGAAAATTCTATGATCGCCCTCATTTAACAGAGGAAAACAGAGGCTCCTGCGAGAGATTGGGCAGGATGGGTCAGAAGAACAAGCCACAGGGGCAATATTCTAGGCCATGGGGCCAGCCTGAGCCAAGGTGAGAGAGAAACCGTGTGGGTAGAGGCTGTGGGGGAAAAGCAGGTGGATCCATTCATTAGAGTTTAAGAGGCATGGGAGGTGAGAAATATAGTAGTGAAGGATGGCATCAGATCATGGGAGGCCATGAGGACACCAAGAACTAAGAAATTTCGATTCTATAAAGGAGAAGAAACCATCAGTGGATTCTGAGCCAGGGAGAAGTCACAATCAGGGCTGTGCTTTGTAGAAATCATCATGATACCAGGGTATAAAAAGGTCAAATGTGAGGGAGAAACTAGAGGGAGGAAACCGGCTATAGAATCCCCCCCACCTTCTTTCTCTCTCCCCCCTCTCACCCATCATAAAAACAAGAGAAAGGCAATGCTCAAGCCTACACTTGCAAAATGGTCCCAAACCAGCCATGAAGAGGAGGCAAGAGCATCACATCCAGCGGTGGGGAGTCCCCCACCGGCAGCTGAGTTATTTGCATCTTCTCTCTGCAGTGTGGGAGGAGAGGCCGGGTGACGAATCCACACACTCGCTTTTGAGGTCAGACATGCTACAGAAATAGACAGGACCAAGATACTTTTCTGTTCTTGGAGATGGGCTCTCACCCATAAGAAGGTAAAAGCGGGCCGGGCACGGTGGCTCACACCTGTAATCCCAACACTTTGGGAGGCCGAGGCAGGTGGATGACCTGAGGTCAGGAGTTTGAGACTAGCATGGCCAACATGGCAAAACCCCACCTCTACTAAAAATACAAAAATTAGCCAGGCGTGGTGGTGTGCGCCTGTAATCCCAGCTACCAGGGAGGCTGAGACAGGAGAATTGCTTGAACTCAGGAGGCAGAGGTTGCAGTGAGCCAAGATCGTGCAGCTGCACTCCGGCCTGAGTGACAGAGCAAGACTGCCTAAAAAAAAAAAAAAAAAAGAAGAAGGTAAAAGCAAAACTTCATTTGAACCTAGATGGCCAAGACCTTCACCTTCAGTCCTTACAGGTTTGTGAAATTAAAATGGCCATGAAAGCTTTCATAGCCTGTGACTCCTCAGTTTTGTAACAGCAAAGAGGGGACAGTTTTGATGCTGTTAAACATTAACAGCCGTCTCCGACACCACTTTGACATTGCATCACACAGACGAACAGATACAATCACAGACAACAATGCATCACTCCAGGCAACACACAGAAATCACTGTCATTGCAAATCCCAGTAGGGCCCCCAGCCAAGGGCAAGGGACCTTTCCGGGCCATTACAAACCAGGAGGCTGATCTGCTGTGGCCTGACCTCAGCAGAACACACTAGTCCTGCAGACATTTAATTCTTTAGGATTCCCCAAAGTTAATCTCTCAGAGTATGGAAGACTCACGAATACATTCTAAGGGTTTACTGTTTGGGTTCATCCTAGCATCTCAATCCAGAAGTCACTTTGGTTTTCCTTTATTAACCATCCTTAGTGATTAGCGTTGGCCGTGAAAAACACGCTACTGGTCTCTCCTTGTGGCCTCTGCAAATAGATAGGTTGCTACATATGAAGCCACACACACGAACGGCAGACAGCAGAGAATCCGTGATCCCAAAGCAAAAAGACTGATGATATTTCCACCAACCTGAGTTTTCCTGAGTTCAACGGCATCAGATAAGACCAACCCTCTTATTATTTTTTTCGTTTCAGTCAAGTTGAAAACTGTCAACCAAAATAGGCCTTATTTGCTGTAGGCCCTTGTCCTCTGTAGGATGAATTGGGTTGTCTTAAAATGATAATTAATAGGCCGAGCACGGTGGCTCATGCCTGTAATCCTAGCACGTTGGGAAGCCAAGACGGGCAGATCATGAGGTCACGAGTTCAAAACCAGCCTGGCCAATATTGTGAAATCCTGTCTCTATTAAAAATACGAAAATTAGCTGGGCGTGGTGGCACGTGCCTGTAGTCCCAGCTACTTGGGAAGCTGAGGCAGTAGAATCACTTGAACCTGGGAGGCAGAGGTTGCAGTGAGCTGAGATAGTGCCACCGCACTCCGGCCTGGGTGACAGAGCGAGACTCCGTCAAAAAAAAAAAAAAAAAAAAAAAGATAATTAATAAGAAAACACATCTGGGTAGGGTGATGACTCACTTTTGTAACTGCTTCACAGTCATGAACGGAAAAATTATTCATCAGCCCAAGCAGTCTCTAGGGTACAGGGTCTCAGGGACGCCCCCTTCCTCCATACGTGGCCCCCTGTCTGCATGATCAATCAACCAACTAATAGTTACTAACTACCCTTTCCTGAATCCTGTGTGGGATGCAGGCAGGTATTGTATGTAGGACCTGACTCCTAAAATTCGGAAGCTAAGTCGCAAACATGGGCAAAAAAAAGGAATAAGTATCAAAGGAGTCTTCAACAGTGCCAAATGCTATGTGATAAGCTGGCAGACAATAAGAGCTTTCAGAATCCAGAGGAGGGCGAGGTCACTCTTGGCTGGGATGGTACAGGGAGGCTTCCCAAAAGATAAAGAACTTGCCTCACAGCAGGGATAAAAAACAAGGGCTTGACTGGAGCCCGAGGAACATGATGTACGAAGCAGAATAAGGTTTGATAAAGGACGGGACATAAGGAAATGAGAGACAGCGAAGTTGATTCGGAAGGAAATGACAGAAGTTCGAACCAGTAACTCGAAGAGATGTGGCTATGGTGACAGCCAGTTTAGGGGGATGCAGTAGAGTCTGTTGACCATGGATCCAAGTTCAAAGTGTTCGGTGGGGAGTAGGGGTGAGTCTGGCCCTTGGCACATGGAGCTGGAGCTGGAGGCATCTGCTCAGAGATGGTGGTGAGATCCTACAGGCTGACAAGGAGTTCACAGAGAAAGAAAGGACCTTGAGCTGAACCTTGGGGCATGCTCTTGCTTAAGCAGTGGGAGAAGAATTATTCTCCCCCAGCATGCCTCAGGCCCAATCCCTCCCTCTCCTGTGCCTTTCATTAGTGCATGCAACACCCCCAGGGCCCCTCTCCAAGACTTTCAAAGGCAAGAACCAGGTCTTCATCTTTTTCACCTCTAACCAGACTAGTGCTCAACACTCAGGGGCTACATGGGGAATGAACGATGTGAGTTCTGAGAATCAGGCAGAGAAACCAAATGAAGAGGGGGGATACAAGAAGAAATAAGTACAGCTGACCCTTGAACAACACGAGGGTTTAGAGGTGCTAACCCCCATCTCCCCATGTGGTTGAAAATCTGTACCTAACTTTTGACTCCCTCAAAAGTTAACTACTAACAACCTACTGCTGACTAGAAGCCTTAGCGATAACCTAAACAGTTGATAAACATGTATTCTGTATGTTATCCATATTACAGACTTTATTCCTAAAGTAAGCTAGAGAAAAATAAAATGTTAAGAAAATCATAAGGGGCCGGGCACAGTAGCTCACACCTATAATCCCAACACCTTGGGAGGCTGAAGTGGGAGGATGGCTTGAGCCCAGGAGTTCGAGACCAGCCTGGGCAGTCTGGTGAGTGAGAGCCCATCTCTACAAAAATAAGTGAAGATAAAAAATAAAAATAAATTAACCTGGCATGGTGCATGCCTGTAGACCCAGCTACTAGGCAGACTGAGGCAAGAGTATTCTTGAACCCTGGAAGTTGAGGCTGTAGTGAGCCAAGATTGCTCCACTGCACTCCAGCCTGGGCAACAGAGTGAGACCCTGTCTCTAAATAAATAAATAAAATCATAAGAAAGAGAAAATACACCTACAGTACTGTACTGTATTTACTGATGCCATAAGTTTACATCATCTGTTTAAAAGATGAAACCTTTGAAATGGTGGCAGCAGCAGCTGCAGACGTCAGTCTACGGTACCTGACAAGCAATTGAACTTTTTCTTGTAATGTCAGGACTTTTCTCTGCTTCTGGGGAATGCTTTCAGCATCACTAGTGGCACACTCTATGGGTCCCATGGTGTTATTCGAGGCTTATGGCATTGCACTAAACATGATGAAAAATACATAGAACAGTGAGGGCTTACATTTTACTGCGATACCCAATTTACTGGAGTGATGAACTGTTCATCCAGGGCTGATCAGCATCACATGACAAGCCGATGCTCTCAACACCTGAGCTCACTGCAATAACAACTAGGGGTGGCCATGAAGTTACTACAGTATATACTATGGCTAGTTTTATGCAGTTATGATTAATACTACATCTTTGCCTTTGTTTACATTTTGCTTAAATATGAATGGTGCCATACACAGTCTGAGTGTTTGTGTGGGTAAAATTTTAAAAATTTTAACTTTCTGTAGATTTGTATGTATTTTGTGGTAGTAAATGATAAACTAGTATCGAATATATTTTATGTATTCACGGCATGTCTAACATTTTCTAAATTTTTTTGGTATTTCTAGACTAGGTAGTCTGTCTTCAATTTTTTTCAAATTATCACAAATCTCCAAAAATATTTTCCAATATATTAATTGAAAAGAATCCACATATAAGTAGATCTGTGCAGTTCAAATCCATTGTCTGAGGGTCAACTGTAGTTAAGAGTGTCCGGCCAGGCGCGGTGGCTCACGCCTGTAATCCCAGCACTTTGGGAGGCCGAGGCGGGCGGATCATGAGGTCAGGAGATGGAGACCATCCTGGCTAACATGGTGAAACTCCATCTCTACTGAAAATACAAAAAATTAGCTGGGCATGGTGGTGGGCACCTGTAATCCCAGCTACTAGGGAGGCTGAGGCAGGAGAATCACTTCATCTTGGCAGTGAGCAGAGATCGTGCCACTGCACTCCAGCCCGGGCGACAGAGCGAGACTCCATCTCAAAAAAAAAAAAAAAAAAAAGTGTCCAAGTGAGATGCCAAAGAAAATGCTCGCTGAATACAGAAAGGGTGTGTCTCATTTATCTTGGAAAGAGAAATATGGAAGAGTGATGGGTGTAGACTTGGATCACAGGCACACAAGGACCTATGAGCATAGGATGCAAAGGGAAGCAAGATCTTTAGATAAGATGCCATTAAAGAAGAGAACAAGAAAGAGGACAGGCCATAGACTGTGGCTGGCTCCAGACCAAGGGCTGTGCTGGGCAGAGGGCTCCCGTGAGGTGACTGCAGCCAGTTTCTTGTACATATCATGGTAGAGTCCTAGGACCCTTATAAAATTTCTATGTGTCCCACCCCATAAAAGATTCCTAGTATTGGCCGGGTGTGGTGGCTCACGCCTGTAATCCCAGCATTTTGGGAGGCCGAGGCAGGTGGATCACCTGAAGTCAGGAGTTCAAGGCCAGCCTGGCCAACATGGTGAAACCCCGTCTCTACTAAAAATATAAAAATTAGCTGAGTGTGGTGGTGGTCGCCTGTAATCCCAGCTACTCAGCAGGCTGAGACAGGAGAATTGCTTGAACCCAGGAGACAGAGATTGCAGTGAGCTGAGATCGCGCCATTGCACTCCAGCCTAGGCGACAGAGTGAGACGCTATCTCAAAAAAAATTCCCAAGTATCAAGTGGACATATCAGAAACGGCACCCAGTTGAAAAGGCCTCCAAACAGCCCTGATTCTAAGAGATCCCACAGCTTGGTTTCCCCTTCCTGCAGTCATTCATATCCCACTGTGACACCTTGTTCCATCCATCACTGTGTACCAGCCGCACTATTATTTACTCAATATTTTTTTCGAACTGACTTATATCCCACTGAAATGTAGTCTGGCCCTAAGCAATAATATCTATGAAATCACAGATTTGATTTGGTTTCTTTCTACTACACACTAAAATAAATATAACTTTAAAACTGTCATCTCCACATGATCTAAAATTATCTCACGGATCCTTAGTTGGAAACTCAGCACACTTTGAGAAACACTGTCTCTGGCTACACATCAAGTCACCATGCAGCATCCACAAAGTGGTTCTGGAGATTCTTTTTTTTAATCCAGAAAACTGAACTTGAATTCTCTACTGACTACGTCCCCACAACGACAGGAACACGGTACCCGGCGTGTGACTGAATCTCTGGGAGATTAAGGGCATGGCAAAAGGAGATGCAGGGGACTTCCCTGTAAGAAGCATCTGACAGCTGCCCCAGGACACTGCCTATCAAACCAGCAATAAGAGGAAAAGAACAGGAAATAACTCATCCAATCTTAAAAACAAAATCCAAAAATGACAAACAGAATCGGAGGAAAAAAAAAAAAACTCGAGAACCATGAGGCCAATGAAGGAAATGCAGAAAATCTTGCAAACCGCTGGGCGCGGTGGCTCACACCTGTCATCCCAGCACACTGCCCGCCTCGGCGGGCAGATCATGAGGTCAGGAGTTCCAGACCAGCCTGGCCAATATAGTGAAACCTCGTCTCTACTAAAAATACAAAAATTAGCCAGGCTTGATGGCGGGCACCTGTAGTCCCAGCTACTCAGGAGTCTGAGGCAGGAGAATTGCTTGAACCTGGGAGTCGGAGGTTGCAGTGAGCCGAGATCACGCCACTGCACTCCAGCCTGGGTGACAGAGCAAGACTCTGTCTCAAAAAAAAAAAAAGAAAAGAAAAGAAAGAAAGAAGAGAAAGAAAGAAAGAAAGGAAGGAAGGAAGGAAGGAAGGAAGGAAGGAAGGAAGGAAGGAAGGAAGGAAGGAAGGAAAGAAAAGAAAAGAAAAAAGAAAAGAAAAGGAAAAGAAAAGAAAAGAAAAGAAAATCTTGCAAACCAAGATGAGTTGTAAAAGGGGAAATAAGACTTCACACCTTCACCACTCTCTGCCCATAATCTGAGCTGCACTTCATGCCTCTGCCACTCCATGTCTCTAATTTGAGATGCAGGATTTGCACTGACCTGAACACTGAGCAGCCAGCCCTCTCCTCTCAGCACAGATGCTGTCTGAGAGGACTGCCCATCATCCATTTAGGTACAGCAAGTCCCAGAAAACAAGAGAGCAGGAAGTGCAGGGTAGAACAAGGGGCGTGGGAGGGGTGCTCACTGTTCGGAAAGGTACAGATGCTACAGGCCAAGCCCAGCCAATGCCCTGGCTGCAGGGCATTGAGAAGAGACCCCAGGAACTGTGAGTTTTCATGTTCTCCATCAATTCGGAGTATCAGAGGACCAGATAGTAACGTGACAGTTCACCAGGCAAAGGCCAATTCGAAAACAGAAACTGGACTGAGAGATGGGTGCACCATCGAACCCTACAGGCAGGTAGCTGTGAGGGGAAGTCAACCTTCCCCCAAGCCGACAGTGTGCCAAGGCTAGTGACAGTCGATACTTTCTGTTGGTACATGCCACGTTTACATAGATCCTGCCGTGTCAAGAATGCATAAAGAGGGGAAATATGCAAAAGCAGGGTGAGGAAACACCATCCTGAAAGCACAAAGGAAGAGCACGTCTCAGAAAATCATTCAGAAGAAAAACTGTCAGGAAACTGTCAGAATGTAAGAAGCTGTGATTTCTTTGAAAGAGGAACAGCAAATCATAACAGGAAAAAAAAAGCAGTTCGAATAAAAAGGATGACAAAGAAGATAGTGGACGAGGTGAGGATTATATAAAAATTGCTCATTTAAATCCATATTTAGTTGTAGTTGTGGGTAACTGCAAATATAAACATTTAAATCAGTGACTTGCGGGGCTAACAGGAAAAGTGTCCCCAAATTGCAAAGGACAAAAAGCAAGGAAATCAAGAGTCTATGTAACATATATGTTTAAAAATATTCCATTATTAAAGACCAGAATAGGTTAAACTTAATAACCAATTGCAATTAAAATTATCAAGTATTAATAAAATTAATAATGAATTGCAAAAATAATCTAAAATTACGCATATAGGCCAGGCGCGGTGACTCATGCCTGGAATCCCAGCACTTTGGGAGGGTGAAGCGGGCAGATCACTTGAGGTCAGGAGTTCAAGGCTAGCCTGGTGAACATGGTGAAACCCTGTCTCTACTAAAAATACAAAAATTAGCCAGGCATGGTGGTGCGCACCTGTAATCCCAGCTACTTGGGAGGCTGAGGCAGGAGAACTGCTTGAACCAAGGAGGCGGAGGTTGCAGAGAGCGGTGATCGCGCCATTGCAACCTCGCGCCATTGCAGTTGCGCCTGGGCGACAAAGCTAAACTCCATCTCAAAACAACAACAACAAAAAATCATTCATATAAACAGGCAAAAAGAGAAAGGGTTACCCAGGAAATCAGATTTTCCTCAGACTTCTCCTCTACCCTCCCTACCAATGGCTAGAGAGCTCTTTCTACTAGAATAAAAGCTCCATACAGCAGGGATTTTGTTTTGCTCACTGCTCTATCACGGTGCATACAGGGCCTGGCATCACCCCTTGGAAAGTGCTAGAAGACAAACCCCACTGAGTTTAAAGCTTCACGGGGTACAGTCATTGTTATGTCCATTGCTGTGGGTATTCAATAAATATTTGCTGAAGCTAAACTGCAAATGTGAATTTTTACCCAAAACTTTGTAATTCAAGACATACAAATCCATCAAGTTGTATGAGTATTTCAAGTGAAAGAAATAGGAAGGTTCTGTTAGAGGCATGCAAGTGAAGACACCATCTCCTTACCCTCCAGGCACTGAGAGAGAAAATTAGGAAGACAACACAGCCATGGGGAAGTAATAATACAAATACAATGCATATGTAAGTCATTTCTTGCTCAGTACAAACTCCCAATGCAAAAATCCAGAGAACTGTGTGCTGCCTGGTGGATTTTCCAGCTCATTGCGGGGGGGAAGATTAGTGCCTTAGTATTTCATTCACCTCCTTTTCTGCTCCTGTCCATCCCAGAACCAGGATACGAGTTTCTCCTACAAGGCCAGTGCAGATGAAGCAATGGGCCATGTGTGAGGAGCACGCATAACTGATGTTCCCTTTCTGTCCAGGCGCATACCAACAATGAGGACTATTCAAGCTTTAGGGACACTCTGCTGGGAGGATCCAGAAACAAGAAGTCTTTGTTTTTCGTGTCCACCAAAGCAACACTGTGCTATGTAAGGCACCACAGTGGCCATTTTCTTCGCCGTGGAACTTCAGTCTTTATTTTCTGCATGTTAAAAACTCATATTGAATGGACCAAGTCTTGTTTTCTTCCTTAATTTGGGTAAGACCAATAAACCACCCCATGGCAATGCTTTCTGTCATCAAAGCCCTCTTTATATCATCCTCCCTCTAAAAGCTGTCCCTGCTTTAGAAATCAAAGTATGCAGTATGATCTCAATATGGAAAATAGCACTCCCTCACCCAAATGAAGTACTAAAGAAAGACACAGACACATTAACAAAGCTTATCTTTGTATTGGGGGATTCTCCGGTTGTTTCAATTCTATTTCTTTCACCAATTTTAAAATTTTACTTTATTTAAAAATATTTTAAAATAATTTTTTGATTTTTAAAACGTGTTTTGAAATTACTTCTTTTTTTTTTTTTTTTTTTTTTTTTTTTTGAGACAGAGTCTCACTCTGTCGCCCAGGCTGGAGTGCAGTGGCGCGATCTTGGCTCACTGCAAGCTCCGCCTCCTGGGTTCACGCCATTCTCCAGCCTCAGCCTCCCGAGTAGCTGGGACTACAGGTGCCTGCCACCACGCCCAGCTAATTTTTTGTATTCTTAGTAGAGACAGGGTTTCACCATGTTGGCCAGGCTGGTCTGGAACTCCCAACCTTGTGATCCACCCACCTTGGCGTCCCAAAGTGTTGGGATTACAGGCGTGAGCCACCGCGCCCGGTCTGAAATTAGTTTTACAATCAGCAAATCATCATATACAATCCTAAATATACTATATGATCCCAATTGTGGAGAAAAATATACACAACATAAAAAAGAATGCCCCTAATTATTTTCTTATTTCTGTTTTTCTATATTTTCCATGTTTTCTATAATGAGCATATTAATTTTAATGCCTTTTAAAAATTCTAAGCTTATTTTCTATTATCAGCTAGTACATGAATATCACCTTACTAAAATTATTTAAACAAGTCCAATAAAACCCTCCTTGACATATCCCATCACATTTGACATCCCCTAAAATGAGTACTATTTATCAGGTAGGGTTTATTGTATTATCTTTCAAATGGCAAGACAGTTGGTGGGGTGGGGGGGCTTTATCTTTAAGAAAACAGAGACAAAATGACTTTCTCAACCAATGCAACGCTAACACAAAAATTAGAGACAGAAGGCACCTTAGTAATCATCTGATCACATCTCATCATTTTACAGATGGACAAACTGAGGCCTGGAGACAGAGCTTGGACACCGAGTCTCCCCAGTACCCACACAGAGCCCTCTCCTTGCCCTCTGCCCACCCTAAACCTGGGTGCAGATGTCACCCCCATGACTAGAGGGCTAGCACATGGTCAGATGGCACAGCAGAACCAAGGCCCCATTCAGGACCACTCCCCAAGATGACCTCCACACTGCTGGAAAAGGTGACCCTCTCCATCAGGCCCAGCTCTCTTCTCCTGAAGCACAAGCTACTTCCCGTCTGTTAGCAGCCAGGCAAACCCCACGAAAGGAAGGGCCCAGGGAGGAAACATCTGTGTATACACGAGGGGTGAAGTCATAAGCCCTCTTGACTTTCCCTTTTGGCAAATCCTCTTCTGCCTAATTTTTTTTCCCCTACATCATTGAGATGCAAAGCTCCATTCAAACAAGGGGGCCTGGAAGACTCCAGCAGCTTCTAGAAACCAAAACTTCCATTCTGCTACAGAGATTCTCAAAAGAAGGTATGTCTTGTTGCACTGGGGTGTGGGTGGGGCTAAGAACAGAAGATAGATGCCCTGCAAACCACTCAGTTGACCACAGACATCCATGTGCTTACCCCTAAACCCAGCTTCTGCCCTTCAGCCAAGCAGAGAGGAAGCTCAAATGCAGGTTCCACAGCTTCTCAGCCATATAACCCTGGCCAAGGCACTTCACCTCTACAAACCTCATCTTTTTTCTTTCCCACATAGGAAAATGCAGATGCCACCACCTACTTCATAGAATTTTTGCAGGGATTAAATAAGACAGTAGAAACAATGGTAGGTACATATTAGCTTCATCCCATACTTTTCCATCCCCTTGAGAAAAGCCATCAACTGAGGTCACCAACGCTGAGTCACTCATGTTGCCCGGACTTTCCCAACAGCACGGCTAAACTCTCCAGAATGATACCTTCTAACCATTCTGACATAAACTGAGCTGACTGAAGGAAAGAGCACGTGAATGACGAGACTAGAATTCAAAGAAACATCAGAATAGGTTCTCATCAATGGCTTTGCGGGCCTAGAGCCCTCCAAGTAAATACATTTGGAAAAGACGTGGTTTCTTGGCTCGCATGGACTGTCCCCTAAAGTAACTAAAGCCATTAGACAAAGAGAAAGCTGAAGGAGACCCTGCCAGTAAAACTCACAGGGCGGAGAACACACGCAAGTCCACGAGGGCTACAACCATACAAAGCTGCTGGGGTAAATGAAAACAAGACCCAGAAACAAACATGGTCCTTGACCAAGAACTGCAAACAAACCAGTGCAAGACCCTGGCAAACTTCTGAAAATGGCCTCATGTGCCTTCATTTGAACATGGGCAAGGGCACTCCAAGAAAATTTCGTACCCCAGATCGATCGCTCAAGCTCCCAAAAATGAGACAGGCTGGATAACAGGCAGGAAAAACGGGTTAAGTTTCCCTTTTTCCCCAGCATTGGATATCCCCCAAATCACATTCACTGCCTTTATCTCACCATTAGATCTTATCTTTTTGTTGTTTTTAGTAGCTAAAGGACTACTGTGGACCAGTAACTTGATATACAGTAGTTTATTTGACCCTTATAAAAACCCTGGGAGGGAAGTATTTATTTTCATTTTATAATCGGGCTAGCTTGAACCCAGTAGTCTGTCTCCAAGACTGGTGCTAGTTCCATCTCACCCCACACTGTCCCCCGATTCCTCCATTTACAATCATAGAAAGCTGATGGGCTGAATGAAAACGAGCCCCAGAAACAAACCTGGTCCCTGACCGAGAACTGCAAAAGGCAGTTCCCAAAACACTTTCCCATCATACCTGAGACTCCTCTGCGGCGTCTAGGAATCCAATATCCAAAGGCAAATACTCCAGGGTTGAAGTTACAGTCGAAGCCATGACCTGCCAAGGCCTTGATCATCAACTGTCAAATTGATAATCAGGTAGAAGGTAACAGGAGATTGCCAGTGGGAAGCCTCATTAACTAGTGGGAGGGGTCCCAGCGGGGAGAAACAGGTCTAAGAGGGTGGGTAGGAAACTACCAAGAGAAGCATCTCCACAGCAAAGAGCCGTGACCAGCACCCTCGAGTGAAATGACACCCTAGAAGGATGCCAACTGAGTGCCACACACTGCGTAGCTGTGAGCAGTTTTGTTTTTCAGCTGGCAGAGCTGGGAGTCCCAGAAGGCACCCCCTGCCCACCCATGCAAAGCAAGTAAGCGGCACAGGCTGCCAGAGGCTCCGTCCTCACCCTCACGCACTCACGCTCAGTCACCAGAAAGCCCCTCTCGTGTAGGCTGAATTCTGGGAGCTTGAGTTCAACTCTCCAGCCCAGAAGGGGAACCACCTTGCTCTGTCTAGTGGGCCAGGCTCCTCACTTTGGGGCTTTCTCCTGGGCAATTTAGCCCCTGCCCCTGCCCAGCTTCTCCTCCCCCGTGCACAGCCACACCTCACCCCCACAGCGGCTCTCCTTTGGGTGGCCTGAGATAAGCGGCCTTCATCCCTTACTCATGGGAGCTCCTTGAGAACAACAATAGTGTCATACTCAAATCCATCCCCAGGCACAGAAAATGTACACAATAAACACACATTGGCTACATGGAGTTCTTCCTGGTCTCTGAGTAGGGTTTTCAGCTCACCTAGAAAGTGGGTTTCTTACTTTCCTGTGGTCACCCAGGCAGCAAGGTGGAGGAAGAGAGGGAAACAAGAAGGCAGAGATGAAAGCACTACCCACACATTTATCTATTTTACCCTAGGAGGAGTCTGGGCTACTTAAATGCTCTCAGGGGTCCCCAAACCACAAATGAATAAAATGGACCAAGGGGAAAAGATCAACAACGGCTTCGCGAGCCTGGGGCCCTCCAAGTAAATACATTTGGAAAAGACGTGGTTTCTTGGCTCACGTGCACTGCCCACTAAAGTAACTAAAGCCATTAGAGAGAAAGCTGAAGGAGGCCAAGTGATCTTCTATGAAAACAGCAGTCTGAGTTACCAATGCTAGATCTGAAATGTACATGTGTGGCTGGCTCTTTACCTACATGATTTTAAAGAACTGGCATATTTTCACCCAAGGACCCCCAGCGCCTGAATGCCTGGTCACCCTGGAGAAGCCCTTGTTTGTAGGGTCACACACCACCAGCCCCATGGGAAGGGAGCCCAGGAACCATCTCTCCAGAACAGTTGAAGGCACCAGGTCTCTTCATCGATGTGGCATCTGTGGAGCCCACAGATGCAAGTGCTGAATCGTCTAGAAAAAACGGGACTGAGATTTGCTGAGATCTCAAAATCTGGAAGAACTCCTCCAGCCCTCTCCGCAGGTACCGACTCTGCCTGGAGGGGCACGGCAGTGAGATCCTTAACTCCTCTTTGGCTAGGGAGCCTCACCTCTCTCCCCCATGGGTCTTAAAAGGAGAGGAGAAAGTGACAATAAGAGGTGCTGGCGTCCTATCCATCCCCTGAGCATCAGAGCGGTGATTCTCAAGCTTCAGCATGCATCAGAAGGGCTGTTAGGACACAGTCTGCCGGGCCCACCCTCCAAGCTTCTGGATCCGTAGGTTTGGGTACCATCCAACTATCTGAATTTCTCACAAGCCCCCAACTGATGCAGCTGTTGCACACGTAGGCACTCCACTTTGAGAATCACTAGTTTCAAGAGAAAAACAAAGACGGTCTGTTCTAAATCGACCTCTGGACCTAGAAGATTAATCTTTAGGAAACATAAATTCACTTTCAGAAAGAAAGAGACTCTTTTAACTTTTTTTTTTTTGAAAAGCATGGCCCTCTTACTTTCCTTCTTTTCATAGACATGGGTGCGGGGAATATTTCCTGCTTTCCCTAACCATAAGAAAAGGAATCCAAATGAAATGAATAATGGCAACTGTTCCACTATTGGCCTTAGCGCTGGTAACAGCAGAGATGGGTGGAGACTGCGCAAATTGGAAACCCACTACTTATCATCAGCATATTGTTGCCAAGCAGGGCGGCAGGCTTGGTGTTGCTAGAGCATCTCGTTTTTGCAAGAGAAGCTGGAAATCTGGATTTTTAATGGAAAACCTGCAGATTTTAAGATGTTGGCAACCAACTGAAACATTTTTAAGTGAAACCATGGGCAACCAAAAACAAAACAACCACTAAAAACCCCCCATGATTCTGTATTTGATTTTGCACACCGGCTACCAGTGTGCAACCCCTGATTGTAACTGTCGGGGGCCTTTATAAGCAGTCGTTTGAAGAGGGGGTTCCCTGGTTCTAACGAATTGAATACCACCCACCTTAGACTAAAGTACCAATCAGCACGTCTGCTCCATACCACACATCCTTTTAGCCAGGACCTCTTACACTGGTGGGTGCAGCTGGATGCCAGCTTCCACGGGATCTGTGAACCCCTTCCAAGGGCTGCAAATGTGTGGCCTGCTCCCACCCACCCGAGAACTGGGCTCCCTGAGCCTGGGCCTAACCTTCTTTGGAAAGGAAGCACAAGACAAGATTCCTGAGGCAGAAGGGACCCTGGAAAGCCTGTCCTACTCAGTCTCTGGAAAGAGGAGCAGCCCATCAGCTGAGAAGGTTTGGAAGTGGAGGAGGTGCGTAAGAAAGCTGAAACAGGTTAAGGAATGAGGCAAACACCACCAGGAGAAAGCAGTCAGGGGCGACACCACACATCAAGCAGGCTGATAGAAGAGCAGGAATTTGGGAACGGAGGAGGAAGCCAGCCAGGCACAGTGGCCTGGGGTAGGATAGTGCACATCCTCAGGTCTGAATGTGAAATGACACAGCCATCATGGTGAGCAGAGAGATGCCCATGGGTAGCAAGCCCAAGCGCTGGAAGCTAGCACCTGGGAACATGGGGCATGGTGGGAAGGAAGGTTGGATCCATGCCTCGTGGGAGATGTAAGGTACCCAAACCTGCAGAGGTAGGGAGAGTAGGAACATGTGCTCTGGGGCCGCTGGGAAGAATGCACGGTGATGTGGCCATAGGCATCCTCACTCTGCCCACAGAAGCTGTCCCCTGGCGGACCTCAGGCCCTGGCCACCTCCCTGTTCCCAGACTTCCTGCTTTCCAGTTGGCTTGTTCATCCCTGTCTGTACCGCACTGCACATCAGCTTCCCAAAATGACGTTGCATCCTGATCCCCACCCCACTGAAAACCCGTCCCCTCCCTTTCCAGGTTGGCCAGGTTTTCCCCCACAAGGAAATCAGCAGCCATCTCCCGGAGACAGTCCAGGCCCATTCAGCCACCGCTGGAGGCCAGCAGTTTTCAAACTTTATTTTCAAAGTCTGGTTCACAATAAAAAACACATTTTACTTCACAACTCAATATACAAAAACAAAGCAAAAGTTTCATGGAACAATGCTTGCCCTTGCCACACATAACGCGCTCTGATATTTTTCCGCTCTGGTTTTTGTGCAGGTTGACACTGATTGCTTGCATTGTGTGACTCATGATGTATGGTTTGGAAAACAATGCTTTACCTGGTCCCAATCTCCATTTTTAGAATCTCTTTTTTTAACTCCATCTCAATCAACAACCCCTATAAAGGATTCCTTCATGATACTTTCTTTGACCCGCCAGGTAGAAGTGAATTATCCCCAATTCTGAATCTCCCAGCCCCTGCAGACTGTATATCATTCACGGGCACTTAGATGATAGTCATATAATTTTTCTCTTTTCTAGAACAGTGTCCAATGTCCGGGTGCAGTGGTTGATATCTATAATCCCAGCACTTTGAGATCGCTTGAGTTAAGGAGTTTGAGACCAGTCTGGGCAACATAGTGAGACCCCCATCTCTACAAAAAATGTAAACATTAGCCAGGCATGGTGGTGTGTGCCTGTAGTCCCAGCTACTTGAGAGGCTGAGGTGGGAAGACTGCTTGAGCCCAGGAGTTCGAAACCAGCCTGGGCAACAAAGTGACAGCCTGTCTCTACAAAAACTTTTAAAATTAGCCAGGCATGATGGTGCACACCTGTAGTCCCAGCTACTCAGGAGGCCGAGGTGGGAGGATCGCTTGAGCCCAGAAATTCAAGGCTGCAATGAACTATGAGCATGCCACTGCACTTCAGGCTGGGGAACAGAGTGAGACTCTGACTCTGGAAAAAATAAGCAAATAAAAAATAAAAATAAATTAAAAAAAAAAGAACAAGGTCTCAGTCTTCGGCTCCAACACTTAAAATATCCGTCAAATGGGCCGGGCGCAGTGGCTCACGCCTGTAATCCCAGCACTTTGGGAGGCCAAGGCAGGTGGATCACGAGGTCAGGAGATCGAGACCATCCTGGCTAACACGGTGAAACCCCGTCTCTACTAAAAATACAAAAATTAGCTCCCTCTCCCTCTCCCGTCTCCCTCCCCACGATCTCCCTCCCCACGATCTCCCTCTCCCTCTCTTTCCACGGTCTCCCTCTCCCTCTCTTTCCACGGTCTCCCTCTGATGCCGAGCCGAAGCTAGACTGTACTGCCGCCATCTCGACTCACTGCAACCTCCCTGCCTGATTCTCCTGCCTCAGCCTGCCAAGTGCCTGGGATTGCAGGCGCGCGCCACCACGCCTGACTGGTTTTCATATTTTTTTTTTTGGTGGAGACGGGGTTTCGCTGTGTTGGCCAGGCTGGTCTCCAGCTCCTAACCGCGAGTGATCTGCCAGCCTCGGCCTCCCGAGGTGCCGTGATTGCAGACGGAGTCTCGTTCACTCAGTGCTCAATGTTGCCCAGGCTGGAGTGCAGTGGCGTGATCTCGGCTTGCTACAACCTCCACCTCCCAGCCGCCTGCCTTGGCCTCCCAAAGTGCCCAGATTGCAGCCTCTGCCTGGCCGCCAGCCCGTCTAGGAAGTGAGGAGCGTCTCTGCCTGGCAGCCCATCATCTGGGATGTGAGGAGCCCCTCTGCCCGGCTGCCCAGTCTGGGAAGTGAGGAGCGCCTCTTCCCAGCTGCCATCCCATCTAGGAAGTGAGGAGCCTCTCTGCCCGGCCCCCCATCGTCTGAGATGTGGGGAGCGCCTCTGCCCTGCCGCCCCGTCTGGAATGTGGGGAGCGCCTCTGCCGGGCCGCGACCCCGTCTGGGAGGTGAGGAGCGTCTCTACCCGGCCGCCCCATCTGAGAAGTGAGGAGCCCCTCCGCCCGGCAGCCGCCCCATCTGGGAAGTGAGGAGCATCTCCACCCGGCAGCCGCCCCGTCAGGGAGGGAGGTGGGGGGCAGCCCCCGCCCGGCCAGCCGCCCCGTCTGGGAGGGAGGTGGGGAGCAGCCCCCGCCCCGCCAGCCGCCCCGTCCGGGAGGTGGGGGGCGCCTCTGCCTGGCCGCCCCTTCTGGGAAGTGAGGAGCCCCTCTGCCTGGCCACCGCCCCGTCTGGAAGGTGTACCCAGCAGCTCACTGAGAACGGGCCATGATGACGATGGGGGTTTTGTCGAATAGAAAAGGGGGAAATGTGGGGAAAAGATAGAGAAATCAGATTGTTGCTGTGTCTGTGTAGAAAGAAGTAGACATAGGAGACTCCATTTTGTTCTGTACTAAGAAAAATTCTTCTGCCTTGGGATGCTGTTAATCTATGGCCTTACCCCCAACCCCGTGCTCTCTGAAACATGTGCTGTGTCCACTCAGGGTTAAATGGATTAAGGGCAGTGCAAGATGTGCTTTGTTAAACAGATGCTTGAAGGCAGCATGCTTGTTAAGAGTCATCACCACTCCCTAATCTCAAGTACCCAGGGACACAAACACTGCGGAAGGCCGCAGGGTCCTCTGCCTAGGAAAACCAGAGACCCTTGTTCACTTGTTTATCTGCTGACCTTCCCTCCACTATTGTCCTATGACCCTGCCAAATCTCCCAATGCGAGAAATACCCAAGAATGATCAATAAATACTAAAAACAAAAACAAAAACAAAAACAAAACAAAACAAAGCAAACAAAAAAAAATTAGCCAGGTGTGGTGGCAGGTGCCTGTAGTCCAAGCTACTCAGGAGGCTGAGGCAAGAGAATGGCGTGAACCCAGAGGCGGAGCTTGCAGTAAACCGAAATCACGCCACTGCACTCCAGCCTGGGCTACAGAGCGAGACTCCGTCTCAAAAAAAAAAAAAAAATCTGTCAAATGTTTGATGTTATAGGAGAAGCCCGAATGACATATTCTGACAGCAATAAAATTGTACTACATTTCACACCATACTGATCAGAGGAGCCGTCTGAAGAACTCCATCTTCGGACAACTCCTCTGGCTGGGCCAGTGTTCTGATACCGGTGCCATCCTCTCCCAGACTCAGGAGAACAGAGCTGTGGCCTGCTATGGTGAGATGCCTTATAGTTTGCAACCCACTCTGCTCTCAGACACATCACACCCCTATCACAGTCCTCAATAGGTTCACACTGGCCGTAACATTGACTCATTGCAATGCCAGGGGAAGATATTTAGCACATCTTGAGGTTAGGTGGGGAAATAGAGCCTCAGAAAAGTTGACAAAATGGTCACACAGGTAGAAAGTGGCTGAATCCACGCAAATCCAAGTTTTGTAGATTCAAACTTCCATGCTCTTTCCAGAGGCCGATCCAGATCAAGTTATACAATCCTGTGTTCATTACACGTCTCCGGCTTGCAAAACCAGAAAGGAACATCAGGGTATGCTGTCCACGCTGTATCCCCTTTCACTGTTGTGTACACCCACACGCTGCCTGGTCCCATGACAGAATGCGCACAAACGTGGCATGCATGAGTAAGTCAGAAGACCAGTGTGGACCTGGTTTCCCATCCCACTTTCCCCAGGGCAGCTGTGTGACATCTGGCAGAGCGTGTCACCTCTCTGAGCATCTCCCTCATCTAGAACCTGGGGGAACTGTATCTGCTGGTTCCCAAGGGCCTTTTCAGGCTTCTCCTGAGAACTCTATTATGCTACTTGGAGCCACGTGGCCTCTACAAATTCTCGCTACACTGGGGAATTAAGAAAAGGCAAACTGAGGAGGAGAAGATCCAAAACAGGAAACTGAGGTAAATCCCCGGAAATCAAGAAAAACTCACTTCCCACAGAGCTCATCTCAGATACTTCCCCTGCCCAAGTGGCTTTCTCTTCTTTCCAGACCCTTGGGTCATGGTGCGACCCAGACTCACTGGATGCATGAGGAGGACTGATACACGGGAAGACAGAAGAATCCCCCAAATCCCCCCCAGAGCAGAGCCAAACCCTAGCCAAGCAAGAGGTCATCCAAGGAAGATTTCTCCTCCTGCAGGAGTGGCGGCTGCCTCGCACTCAACCTGGTCCAATTAGCTTCGAGCATCTGCATCAAAGATAACCAGCAGAGCCCTGGTTCCAACTCACCTCAGCCTTGTGGTGTGTCCTTATGCAAATCTGACACGCTGGTCATTTTCTGCCACCATCCCCACATCCGCTGCTTCCCCGTGGCATCGGCTAATTCACTGTGCAAAGCAGCATTTATATATAGAAAGTTGCAGCCACGCAGGTTAGCATTAAAATAGAGACTTGACGTTGCCGTGGCAACCAAACAAATGATATTCAAAATGAAAGAGAAGTATTCTGCAATCGGGAAAGCATGTCCACAGCCTTCCAGGGCAGCTGGGCCCTTTCCCCCTGAGGGTGGGTGGGATGCCTCTGGAGAAGTGCCTGGTCCTGATGAACCTCCACCTCCCCATTAGGTCACCCACTCTGCTTTCAGCAGCAGCCATCATCCCCTGCACATGCTCCTTCCGGTCTAGAGTGGACCCAAGGCCAAGACACTGAGGGAGTGTGATAATCCAACCAGGTAGAGCAATTTGCAAAAACTCTACTCCTTAAAGCGCCGAGGAGAAGCAGCCCTGGTGCTTTAGTAAGGGTGCTTCTGGAAACAAGGCTGGCCTTCTGCCACTGCCTGCCATAACGAAGAGTCGAGAGGCCACCAGCTAGCCGAGTGACACTGGGCAGGCTTCTGTACCTCTCTGAGCTTCCAGCTTAAAATGAGCTGGGAGTGGGAGGAGGGAGCAGCAGCGCAGGGTCTTCAACCTCATGACTCCGGGATGTGCAACTTTTCCCTGCTACCACCACCTCCTTTTTCTACATTCCTCTTGGATATTGCTGAAGCCCCAGGGCCAGACAGAAGTTACTGATTCCCAGGTCTGGCACATGGAATAACCCTGTCACTTTCATTCTGTACACCTGGCCACCACCCAGAAAGCCCGCAGTCCCCAAGACAGAATGCCTAGATTCTGGTCTTCAAGGAGCTAGGGGCCTTGAACAAATCTTGGACCTTTCTGGGGCTCATTTCTAAATGTCAAAATCAAGTGTTATCTAGAAAGACTGAAATTAAAAAGAATGACAATACCAAGTGCCGACAAGGATGCAGAGCAACTGGAATTCTCACACGTTGCTCGTGCGAACACAAAATGGTATGGTCCTTCTGCAGAGCAGTGTGGCAGTTTCCTGTAACATTAAACATACATTTACCATGTGGCCCAGCGATCCCACATGTAGCCTGTGTTTCTGAACCAGGGGCGACTTTGTCCCCCCTGAGGACATTTGGCAAGCCTTGGACACATTTATGGGTTGTCATGACGGAGGTGGGAGAGGCTGAGTGAGTGCATTAGCTCCCTGCAGAGACCTCTGTTGTTTCCAAAGAGACACCTAGAACCAAGAGTATCTCTGACCTAAGCTGAGGGCTAGAGAGTGGCCTTGGCTGTGCAAATCCACCGAAGGCTCTGTAAATGGTCTCCCTTCTGACCCAGCCCAAGCTCCTAAGCCAGGACCAAAACTGACTGTGCCAATCTGCTTCCCTCTCCTGGAGCAGTTCCCAAACCAAATGCAAACCTCATGGTTGCCCCACTGAACCCTGGAAGAACACAACTTCCTACTTACCCAGAACAACAACTTCAAAGCCACTTTGCGTGGTTGCTGGCTCCGAAGCCACACAGAGATGACGGATTACAAGGAAGAAATCAGAACCATATGGATTTCATATTCAGCAAAATAAACAGAATTACAGCATTGGGGTTGGGCTCAAGAAACCAGGGGACTGTGTGTTTGGCCCAGAGCCCAGGCTTGGTGGCCCCCAGCATGGGCTGGGCTCTCCTGGCCTCTCCTCCCCACCCATGACTCCCACAAACAGCGCCAGGGGCGTCCAGCCTGCTGTCTGCCCCTCCTTGCCAAGGCCCCAGCAAGCAATCCTGCTTCGGCTGACATTTTCGTGTTTTATTGAGTTTTTTTATATCCTCTTTTATGGCACAGTTGAAGATAGTTCAGCTTCTTTTCTAGCTTCGTCCAAAGATGCACACAAGCACCGACAGGAATGCGGTGTCGTTAATGACAGTGTGACAGCTCTGGAGCCTCTGGGGGGAAGCTGTAGGAAGGGGCAGCTGTGGCACCCACCCCCTTTCAGGCCCCTGGTTCATTTCTCCCACAGCGAACTGTGCTGGGCGTTCCCACTCCCAGCCTCCCTCTCAGGCCAGAACAGAGGAACTCTTTCCTCTCCTGGTTTCTAGGGGAACAATATGGCACTCCATGTGTAGCCTGTGTTTCTGAACTAGGGGCGCTTTTTCCCCAGGGGCCAATGGGGCAATACTTGGTGACATTTACTGGCCAAGGACGCTGCTAAACACTCAACAATGCACAGGACCGCCGCCCACAACAAAACAACCATCCAACCCGAAATGTCAACAGTAACATGGCCGAAAACCCTGGTACAGACACACTGACCAGGCTTCAGTTGGTTCCCGGTGCCCCCGACCCAGGTGCATGTCCACGGAGGGATCAAGCTCAGGACTTTTAGAGATCACAGACAAGTTCTGACCTACATGAAGGAGGAAATTTACCATTCTGGTAATTACTTTAAAGTAAATTCTAGGCTGGGCACAATGGTTCATGCTTGTAATCCCAGCACTTTGGGAGGCCAAGGCGGGTGGATTACTTGAGGTCAGGAGTTCAAGACCAGCCTGGCCAACGTGGCGAAACCTCGTCTCTACTAAAAATACACAAATTAGCTAGGCATGGTGGTGCACACGTGTAATCTCGACAACTCAGGAGGCTGAGACATGAGAATCACTTGAACCCGGGAGGTGGAGGTTGCAGTGAGCCGAGATTGCGTCGCTGCACTCCAGCCCAGGCGACAGAGTGAGACTCTGTCTCAAAAATAAAATAAAATAGAAAATAAAATAAGTTCTACAACTGATCGAGATATCATTTGATCTTCCAATGATTCTCCATGGATATAGAGAAAAGTTAAACAAACTTTAAAAACATAAAACACATCTTGCCCATAGAAACCACACGAACACAGTGGGCACAGATCATTTAAATATCCTGATGTGAATAACTTTAAATAACACAGCTAATTCTGCTTTGCTGGTGGGTTGCTTTTTGGTCTCAGAAATCCCTGAACCAGCAAATCAGGGCTGCTCACATCCCTATTCTCTCCCTTTCCTTTCTTCTCTCCCCCAGGAGTGCTGAGCCACCATTAGCTGACACTAATTCCTAATGACCCTGCAGATCTCAGCTCCCACCGCAAATGCCCTCTCACCCCCCAGGATCCTGTGGGTAGCCGAGCAGTCCTGCACCACGTGAGTGAGGCCTGCAGTACTTGGGGCAGCCCAGGGGAAGGCAGGGATGTCCAGGGAGCTCCATCCACACTGTGCAGACATCAGGGGGCACACAGTAGGATGGACCCCTCCCCACAGCAAAGGCAACCCTTGCCTCGCTCTGTGCTCCCACTTACCTGCTGGCTGGGTTTGCCAGAGTGGGCCAAGAAAGGGAAGCAGAGTGGCTCTGTGGTGGTTTCATGGGGTTTCCCCTAGAGGAACAGACAGGCAGAACTTGCTAATGCCACTTCTTTGTCATTCTTGCAAAAGGAGTTCCTGCTCCTGCCTACCTCCATCAAAATAATAGGCAACGGCATGGTGGCACCTGGCACGTGTGTGTGCGCGCGCACGCGTTTGTGTGTCTGTGTGTGTGTGTGCGTGCGCATGATACTCACAAAGACGTCCCCATGTCCTACACCTCAGGAGGACCCCTTCCATCCTGCTCTCTCTGCTGAGGAAACCTCTTATTTAACTTCTCAGTTGCAATGATCCACCATTTTCTGCCAAAGCTACCATCTCTGCTCCAAAGCAGAGAAGCAGCAGCTCCGGCAAAACCCTGACAAATCATCTAGTTTCTATGATTATGCTTATTCCAGAGAATGAATTCAAGGTTCAAACAGTTCGGCAGTTTGCCCCAGGCAAACTGGGGCAGAGTGCATACACTTAAACAGCTAATAATGGCGGTGCCGAGATCAGGGTGTCAGGGTGAGGATCTCATCCAAGGTCAGGCTGCTAACAAGATACGACACTGAGGGCTCAGCCCTGCACATCTGGCTCTGGAACTCTTAACTCATCACCTCCACTCTAACCTGTTCACCACGGCAGCTTCCTGACCACCGTCTAGTATGGCTCCACCCTGGGTCACCCTCCCTGGTCAAATGCTTCCTTCAAGACACTCAGGTCATGGGCTTCCCCTTGCACGGGTGGTGAGGGGGGCAGAGGAAGCATCTTTTTTTCATCCAGCCACAGCAGTTTCTTTGTTGCCTCAATGCCCCTAGTGAGTCACCTCCTCCAAAGGCCATTGCCAAAGAGAGCACCATTTTAGCACGAGCGCTCGTCCCCACTTCCCTTTTCCATTTCCCAACATGGCCCTCACCAGCTCGAACATTAGTCACACACGTGCCAACAGAAGTTCAAAGATGCTCCGATAATGTGATTTGTAAACACGAAGTCCCAGCAGCGGCGGCTGCTGCAGCTTCTTGGCTCTCTCACTCAATCCCCTACACCTTCTGGGGCCTCCCAGATTGACGTTTTCATTTCCCGGGCTCCACGACACGCAGGGACTGTGAGTCTGCTTTTCACACGTGGGAGTCTCGTGCCAGAGGCTGGGGCAGAGGAAAAGCCTCACAGCATGATCTGGCATTTCCAAGCACACCGTGGGGGTCTGTGACCTACAAAGCACAGCAGGCTCTCGTAGCATCTGTATGCTGTGTGGGCCTGCCCAGCAGGCCATACGTACCCCGGCTTCTGAAAGAAGCACCCTGATTTTTCTACTGTGGAACCACCTCACCTCATTCTCAGCCCTCGAGGTTTCCGGGAGCAAGTGGCTCCTGCCTGGCCAATTAGCACGTGCCCTCTCCCCAACCACGGTACTAGTTCACGAAGGGGCATATTACCCATCTGGGGCTGGATACCTGGAATTTGGTTTTGGAATTACTGGGGAAAGATGTATTACTATGACAAGATGCAAGCCTGAAGCTGCTGATGGTCACGCTGACAACTCGCAGAAGTCTCACTGAGAATGGAGCCAATGCAGAAGGAAGAGGGCTGATGAGGAAGACAGGGAATCAGAGATAGAGAAACATCAGACTGCTGACACTGTTTGTTTAAGCCACTTGATCAAACCATGCCTGAAGCTGAACTTCCTGGGACTGTTCCTTTTTTGTCTGAATCCAATTTGAGTGGGATTTCTTTTCACTGGATCTCGCTCTGTCCCCAGGCTGAAGTACAGTGGTACAATCATAGCTCACTGCAGCCTCAAACTCCTAGGCTCAAGTGATCCTCAGCCTCTCAAGTACCTGGGACTACAGGTGTGTGCCACCACACCTAGTGAATTTATTTTTTATTTATACAGATGGGGGTCTCACTACGTTGCTGAGGCTGGTCTCAAACTCCTGGGCTCAAGTGATTCTTTTGCCTTGACCTCCCAAAGAGCTGGGATTACAGGTCTAAGCCTGAATAGGATTTCTGTAACATTTAATAGAAAGAGTCCTGGCTAATAGTTCCTTGGTAAAGGGCAAGGTATACAGATAGCAACAATCAAAACTAAAGAACATAAAGCAGGGAGAATTTAGAGATTTGGTTCCTTTCTTGAGCCTGCACTTGTGGGTAAGCTTCTCTTCCAAAGATATCTGCATTTCTAAAAACCTTCCTTTGGCCACTATAACACTTGGTGTCTTAAAGCAACAGAAATGTATTCTCTCACAGTTCTGGATGCCAAGCTTCCAAAAATTAGTATCACTGAGCTGAAATCAAGGTATTGATAGGGCCATACTCCTCCCAGAGGGTCAAGGGGAGAACTCAGTCCTTGACTCTTTCAGCTCCTGGTAGCCGCTGGCATTCCTTGGCTTGTGGCTGCATCACTCAAATCCTACTTCCCCAATCATACCCTTTGTCTTCTATCTACAGTCAAATCTCCTTCAGCTTCTCTCTTATAAAGATGCTTGTGATTACATTTAGGGCTTACTCAGATAACCCAGGAAAACCTTCTCAATTCAAGATCCTTAACGTCATTGTACCTGCAAAGACTCTTTTCTAAATAAAATAACATTCCCAGGTTCTGGGGATTAGGACGTAGACAATCTTGGAGAGCCACTATCAGCTGCCCTCATCAGGCCAAGTTGGACCATGGATCAGAAATGTTGCTGTCAATACCTCTGATGCTTCCCCAGGTCCTCCTGGCTGGGACCTCTGGGGCCAACTGTGCCAGTCACATAACACTGGAAGAAGAAATAGCCAGAATGTTGGAGCTGGACTCAGAGTGGAAGATATGCAAGAGCACAGAGTGCCAGGGAGGTTCAGCAGGATTGGGAGCCCCAAAGGAGGTCTATCCGGAGCTCAAGTTAGGGGGCTGTATGCTTGGGGCCAAAATGTAACTTGACCTTGAGATAAGATGAAGGGAATTACAGTATACCCCTCTCCATAACCCCATTTCCCCAGTGACCAGATTGCTATGGCGTAGGGTAGGAAGGCACCATCTGTAGTGGAAATGGGAGGGAGAGGAAAGTAGGGACTGAAGAAGCACAAGAGAGACTGTGACAAGGAGCCAAGGCCAGGCTAATTTGTCGCCCAAGCTGGAGTGCAATGGCATGATCTCGGCTCACCACAACCTCCGCCTCCCGGGTTCAAGCGATTCTCCTGCCTCAGCCTCCTGAGTAGCTGGAATTACAGGCATGCGTCACCACGCCTAGCTAATTTTGTATTTTTAGGAGAGATGGGGTTTCTCCATGTTGGTCAGGCTGGTCTCAAACTCCCGACCTCAGGTGATCCGCCCGCCTCGGCCTTTCAAAGAGCTGGGATTACAGGTGTGAGCCACCACACCCAGCCTGGCCAGACTACTTTTTTTTGTTTTGTTTTTTGTTTTGCAGAGACAGACTCTTGCTATATTGCCCAGGCTGGTCTTGAACAGCTGGCCTCAGGCCATCCCCTCACCTCAGCCTCCCAAAGCACTGGGATTGCAGGTGTGAGCCACTGTGCCTGGCCTACAAGGTCAATTTTTTTAAAAACAGTTAACTGTTTATTTCAAGGTCTATTAATTAGGAAAAAACATATAAGTAGTTTGAAAGCCTGAGATGTGACTGTCATTCTGCAGGACATCAGGACAGCCTTTCTCTGCTTGGATTGGCTCCTGGGGTCACTGAATTTTGGAGTCAGGGGGAGCATTTCTAGGTCACCAAGTCCTGACAGTGTAGTGGTGAAGAGAGTAGACTTGGGAGCCAGACTGCCTGGGTTCAAATCCATGCTTTCCCAGGACAAGTTGCTTGATCTAGCTGGACAATCTCAAGTCAGCAATTCCCGTGAAGACAAAAAATAATAATGATGATGTAAGTATTAATAATAATACCTGTTACAAGGATCAAGTGAGTTAATAATGTACACAAAGCATTAAAAATTGGCCTCTCTTTGCTGACACTGCAGGCAAGTGATAGCTCCTTCTCCCAGCTCCATGGTTCTGCCATCCTTTACAAAAGGCTCTGATGAAATATGGGGGAGGGATGGGGTGGCGGGAGTGGAGTTTCCAGCCCACCACAGCAGAGGCTCCTCTGCCTTCCATTTTATTCCAACTCCCTTCACTTCTTCATGCAGACAAGTGTCCCACTTCTTTTTTTTGAGATGGAGTCTCGCTCTGTTGCCCAGGCTGGAGTGTAGTGGCGCGATCTCGGCTCGCTGCAACCTCCGCCTCCTGGGTTCAAGTGATTCTCCTACCTCAGCCTCCCAAGTAGCTGGGACTATAGGCGCATGCCACCACACCTGGCTAATTTTTGTAGTTTTAGTAGAGACGGGGTTTCACCATGTTGGCCAGGCTGGTCTCGAACTGCTGACCTTGTGATCTTGCCTCAGCCTCCCAAAGTGCTGGGATTACAAGTGCCCGCCACCACACCTGGCCAAGTGCCCCATTTCTGAGCTTACCTCAGCCCTATACCCCCACCCCCTCTGGCTAGGGGGTAATCAGAAGGAAGACCAATAGGACCAATGCTGAATACCTGCCTGGTGATTCACACAGAATAATCAGGCCAACCTCAAGCTAGGAATGTCTGCAAACACCTGTCCTAGTCCCCCTACACCATGACAGTTCTTTGAAAATACATCCCAGACACTCTCCATTAACCCTGCCCAGCCCTGGTTCAGGGTGGGCCTGATCGGAGACCATCAACCATCTCCTGTAAGTCTAAACAGAGGCTCAGACCGGGAGAAATAGATTCATACATAACTGAATCAGGTCCTTCGGAGGAAAGTTGATATCAACATTCCTTAACCTTGACACTAACCACTGAGGTGTGGTCACTGTTACGTTTTGTAAAGAATCGGGGTGTGGCCTCTCTGATATTATAGGTCCAAACCAATGGTCTCTACCTTGGTCATTCCCATGAAAACTATTTTGGGATTGTGCTCTGTCCTTCAGAGGCTTAACACAAACCATACCTGAGACTTCAGCCACACATAAACACACTCCAATACTTCCTCCCAAACCTTTTAAGCTGCTTTGTACGAAGCACAGTGACATCACACAGCACCCCAAAGAGGGACAGGCACCCCCATATGCACTTGATAGGCCGGCTCTTCCCAGAAGCATCATCAACTCCTTCAGGGCGCTTCCCTAAGTTTGATCCTAGGAGAACTTCTGCGGAACCTTTGCTAGAAAGCCCCTGACCCATTGAACCAGGATGACCCACTGACCCAGATGAAGCCCTGGGTTTCCTTCCCTGACCTGAAAACAGAGGCAGGCTATGCTGGGAGTTCCCAAAACCACCCTCAGCTCTGATGTTTCCCAGAAGGACTCATGGGACTCAGCATATGTTTTACTTCTGGTAAAGACTTATGGCCAGACACAGTAGCTCACACCTGTAATCCCAGCACTTTGGGAGGCTGAGGCAGGAGGATCACTTGAGGCCAGGAGTTCAAGACCAGCCTAGACAACATAGCAAAACCCTGTCTCTTAAAAAAAAAAAAAAATCACAAAATTAGCCAGGCATGGTGGCACACGCCTACAGTTCCAGCTTCTCGGGAGGCTGAGATGGAAGGATTGCTTGAGCCCAGGAGTTTGAGGCTGCAGTGAGCTAGGATCGTACCACTGCAATCCAGCCTGGGTGACAGAGTGAGATCCTGTCTCTATTTTTTTTTTAAGGGTCTTATTACAGCAAAAAAATACAAAGCAAAATCAGTGAAGGGACACAGAACCTGGGACAAGGTCCTGAGAAAACCAGGCGCAAGTTCAGGAGTCCTCTCCCAGCAGTCACATAGGATGTGCCTAATTCCTCCAGCAGTGAGTCCTGGTAGCATGTGTAAAACACTGTCTAGCAGGTAAGCTCATTACAGACTCAGTGCCCAGAGTTTTTATAAGGAGCTGGTCATGTAGGCATCCCCTGCCTAGCACAAACATGAATTGCAGACTCCCTGAAGAAATCCAGGTATTCAGCACAAACCGTATTACTCACATGAACAGTTTAGAGAACAGCCACCCTTACTATTCAGGGAATAGTGGGAGCCCTTCCTAAATGCAAGTTCCCAGACACCAGCCAAGGAACAATGTTGCCAGCAGGCCTTTCTAAGGAGGGCTCCCCGGCCTGCTACGTTGACTCTCTCTGCACCATGTCCGTGGAATGGTTACTTGAAGGGATTTCCCCTTTTGTCTGCCCATCCAGTGGCAGAATCCTGCCACTAAATCCTCAACAGGTGACAAGCCTCTCAAACACTTGTGCGGACAGAGAGCTCACTCCCTCACAAAGCTTCCTCTTCCATGTTGGCCTGTGATCCTTGCTAGTCCAGGAACACCAGCCTCTGAGTTCAGTATTTCATGCCAATAAACACTTCACATAATAACCACCACTACTATGATGTTGGGTCAGGCCTTGGGCCAAGCACATGACAAGCATGAGCTCATTTAATATTAATGTTTTATGATGGAGTCAACTATGCCTTAGAGACGCAAAGCGACTTGCCCAAGGTCACAGTGTTAATGGGTTTGAACTGTGGTCCATTTGACCCCACAGCCGGAGACCCTGAACCTCCCACACCCAGTATCTCCCGGGAGCCTATCTTTCACTGATCACCATTCTAATTTTCAGCATACTCTCATACCACTTTTTCCTCTTATTTGCTAATATTTTTAGTTGACTCACTTTTTTCTTTTAAAAATTGCACTGAACAGAAAATTGATGTGAGTCTGTGAATGGAAAACTAGTGACATTTGCCAGAAATCTATAATAACCATAAAAATAACCACAACAAACACCAAGCAATGTTATTCAATCTTTGCTGGATACTGCTACCTGCTGAGGCCTGCCCTCACCCGGCACCTCCCAAAACTTTCTCCTCAATGTAATCAGAAGCAAGGAGAGAACTGCAAAAGGAATACCCTTCTCTTGATGTGATTCACTGGTACTGAAAGTCTCGTCCAGAGACCACCTAAACCCATCTTGGCACAGCATCTCGGGAAATGCTATACTAGACCATAGGCACTAGATGACCTGCCCTGTTGAGCTCATTAGTCCCAGCAGGGACTCCTAGCTTTCTATGCACCCCACTCCTCTATCCCCAGTCTTGAGGTTTGTTCCATCTCCTTCCTCTCTCATTCATTCTCATTTATTCGCCAACTTTTGTGGCCACTAAGTCCTGGGAATCATCCAGCCACCAGCCTGGGTCAGCTGCCCAGCCTCCCAGCCCAGCTCTCCCTTCGTTCTCTCTCTTCTTTTTTTTTTTTTTTTTTTTTTTTTAATTTTTAATTTTTGGAGATGGAGTCTCGCTCTGTCACCCAGGCTGGAGTGCAGTGGCACGATCTCAGCTCACTACAACCTGCGCCTCCCAGGTTCAAGCGATTCTCCTGCCTCAGCCTCCAGTGTAGCTGGGACTAAAGGCCTGCGCCACCATGCCTCGCTAATTTTTGTATTTTTAGTAGAGACGGGGTTTCACCATGTTCGCCAGGCTGGTCTCGAACTCCTGACCTCTGGTGATCTGCCTGCCTCAGCCTCCCAAAGTGCTGGGATCACAGGCGTGAGCCACTGTGCCCGGCCTCCCTTCATTCTCTTTCTGTTTTCATGGGTTCTGCTCAGCTTACCAGGCTACTAGCCTGGTCTTGCAGAGAGAAAATGCCAGCAAAGATGCCGTCCCTCCTGCCCTATTCTAAATCTAGAGTCTAGGGAGAGGGAGGCAGAGGCAGAATGGGGACATCACAACCTATGGGACAGAGGTTGGGGTGGTGGCGAAGGAAGAGCATACAGAGAGTAGAAGTCAGAAATGTGCTATTAGGTTGGTGCAAAAGTAATTGCGTTTTTTGCCATTAAAAATGGACAAAATAGCAATTACTTTTGCACCAACCTAAATATTTCTCTAGAAACCAGGGACTCCCACATCCCCATCCCTGTCTGACTCCTACACAATCCTCTGGCCTGGCATCTGGAACACCTGCTCAGCCCAATCATGAACTCAAAGGAGCCACCTGACTGGGTCAGAGGGTCCCACACAGAAGCCAGTTGGTGGGGTGTTCCCAGCCAGCAGGACCCCAAAAAACTCCAAGCAGAGAGAGCCAGTGAGGCGACTTGAGAGCTCAGGCTCATGAGGCAAACAGAGCTGTGTTTGAGTCCCGACTCCACCATCCCCTTGGGCAAGTGGCTTTGCACATCTGAGAAATGGAACCAAAAATATCACATACTACTCAGGGTTGTTGTGGGAAGATGCGAATCACCCTGGGTCTGTGCCCAGGATACATTATTTTCCCAGAGCTGGCTGTAGGACTGGGGCCACAAGAACAGAAAATGGGTGAAGGCAAAGTACAAGTATAGTCACCCCCATGTCACAGAGAACAGCCAGACATGAGGAGGTGGGTGCAATCGGAGGCAGCGCAGACAGCCGAGGGCTCACCCTGCAGACCAGAGGCTGCCTACAGGACCACTGGATGTGCTTTGCTTGACCTGCAGACCTTTTTAAAAAAAAGTTTTGACTTAGCTTCAAGCATACAAAAACCAAGACAGGTCTTGTGAAAAAACAAATAAAGGCCAGGCGCAGTGGCTCATGCCTGTAATCCCAGCACTTTGGGAGGCCAAGGCAGGCAGATCACCTGAGGTCAGGAGTTCAAGACCAGCCTTGCCAATATGGTGAAACCCCTTCAAATAATAATAATAATAATAATAAACAAAAATTAGCTGGGCATGGTGGCACGTGCCTGGAATCCCAGCTACCTGGGAGGCTAAAGCAGGAGAATCGCTGGAACCCAGGAGGCGGAGGCTGCAGTGAGCCAAGATCGCACCACTGAACTCCAGCCTGGGCAACAGAGTGAGACTCCATCTCAAGAAAAAAAAAAAAAAGAAAAGAAAAAAAAGAAAAGATTCAGTTGTCTCTTGAAAAGTCAGGTGGACCATACTGCAGGTGCTATCGACAGGATGAGGAGAAATGCTGCCACGTTCTCCACCATTCTCTATCACAGTAGTCTGCAACCCTGGCTGCCCATGAGAATCACCTGAGAGCTTAGAAATGCCCTAGGAAGCCCCTGTCCCATTAAACCAGGATCCCTAGGGCTGGAGGTAGGGGGCTGATCTGAAGTCATTGGCCCTGAGGAAGCACCTCTACCTGCCTCACTCAGCGCTATTACCTGCCGGGCCCAGACACTATCTGCCCCGATACCTGGTTCAGGCAAGATTCAGGAATAAGGAAAGACTGGGGCCCCAGAAGACAAACCCAGCACCCAGGCCCCTGCTGGCAGCCCCAGCTTTAACTTAGTCCACTCCACAATGTCTTCACTGGAGGGGATGAGGAGCTGGCTTGGCATCCCTGTTCCCCTCCCCCAGCCTTCGCCCATGGCTGCATTACCTCTGTCCACCCTGAGAAGGACAAAGCTCCTGAAGGCCAAGACTCTGTGTAGAGAAGAGCCAAGGCAGGAGTCCCATGAGCATTCAAGTTCCAGGTTCTCCTGCTGTCTAACAGATGCTTCTGCCTTCAAATATGCTTTCTGTAAAACCCTAGAGCCACACCATCGCCTTAGAAACCTCTGGTTCCATCCCTCTCTGATAGAAGCATCTATCTGTCCACAACCCTACCCCGATCCACAGGAGTCAATATAAATGTAAGGTAAAGAACAGACCAGACGGCTTGCCAGCACCGTTTCCGAGACGTGATGGGGAGAGAGGCTCAGGGAAGTGCTGGCGCCCATAGTCTGTCTGGCCCCAGGATTGGTGCATTAGTGGCTTATCTGCAATTTGGGGTATTTCCCACTGGTTTTGTGCCATTTCTCTAAAAATGGGGAACTAAAAAAAAAAGAAAACAAAAACAAAAAAACAAGAAAGTGGTGTCATCACTCCCAGGTCCATTCCATCATTCTAAGTAAATGGAGCAAAGTGGTCTATGTCTAACCCAGGGCAGGTGGCACGATGGAAATAGAAAAGGTGGCCCTCCCCGGCCCAGGACCAGAGTGACAGCAAGGCAAAGGCTCGCTGGAATGAGGCAAGGAAATGGGATTTTGATTGCATACACAAAGCGTGGCACAGCCAGAGAACAGTGACAAGTGACATGTGAATCACACAGATGAGGGCTTCCCAGGACTCGACGTGTCCCAACAGGCCGTGTGGCTCAGCCGGAGAAACAAGAAAATGAGGGCAGATGTAATCACTATGCAGGTACCTCAGTGAACTAATTCCACCCCAGGGGCTCTGACACAGCTGGAGACAGGCCTGTTTCGGGATGCACAGTTTAAAGTCAAGGGGCACTCCTCCCCAGCCAGTGCAGGCTTGGATCCTTCACACTCACTGGTAACAATCCTGGAAGTCAGAACACAGGACTTATTCTCCAAGCACAGGATCATTTTGCTGTCCTCAAGCACCTGGGGAGAGCAGGTGACAATCTACACCTTGCTACTGAAAGCCTTGCTGTTATATAAGACGTGGTCCATAGACCAGCAACACTGAGCTTGTTAGAAATGCAGCATCTGCGCCCCGCTCCCCTCAAGACCTCCTACATCAGACTGTATAACAAGTGCTTCAGGTGAATCGTGCGCACATTAACGTTTGAGCAGCACTAATTTAAAGCTTATGAGCTATTTTACCAGTGCACAAGGGAATTTCTAGGTACTACTAGGTACTGATCAAGTGCGTGACAGCTACACGGGCGCTTGAGGAATTTCGAGACAGTTTCAGTCGAGGCATCTCACCCTGACTTTTTTCTCAACTGAATTCAAGGCTGCAGCTACTTCCTCAGTTCTCTAACTCACTTATCAACCAAGGCAATCTCAGATGAAAATGTTTTCCCATAGCCATTGAGCCTGGCAGAGTAACATCTCAGGATGTATTTATCCACCTGTTTACTTATTTATCTGTGCTTCATGCTTACTCAAACATTTATTGGGCACCTACTATATGTCAGGCGCTGAGAATATGCAGATGAATGACCCCAGCCCTGTCCCAGGCAGAGCTTACTTTCTGGAAGAGAGAAAGATGGCAGGCAGCCACGCAGCAGTGTGATGGACGTATGCAACGATAACAGGAGAAAGCAGGTGCTGAGAAAGGAGTGGGCGTCCAGAAAGTTCCTGGGAGGGGGGTGCTGCCCAAAGGTCATCGTAAGGACAGGCTTTCTCCTTGCCAGGCTTTTCTCTGCTTTTCTTGCTCCCTCCCATCTTGCTTTCTGCTGGATTGATTGCATATTCTTTATTCCCCCTCCCTCCACAAACTTTGCATTTATAGAGTCTATTTATACTACTTAGGTGGTTACACTGACATTTTTAACATGTACACTTGACTTCAAGCAGAAAGCTAATCAATAGCTCTTTTCTCCTTCTGAATAATACAAAACCCTGGAAGGGTTTCACTTCGATCTCCTCCCTCCTACCTTCTCAGTGTTGGATAGCAATGAATCAGACAAAGATGCTATTTTCCCCCAAGTTCTGGAACTCCCTGGTTATTTGTTCTCTCCTGCCACTGACAATTTTCCAGGAAAATAAAAATTCCAAATTGACTCAAGAGGAAATAGAAAACCTGAATAGGTCTATAACCTTCAAACGAATTGATTCGGCAGTCTAAAACCTACCTTAAAAAACTGTACCTGTCGGTGTGGTTTTACTGATAAGTTTTCTCAAATCGTTAAGAAAAAACCACTTAATCCAATCTCTTCCATAAATAGAAAACATTCAGCTCCTTTTTATAATACCCTGATATCAAGTTCAAAGAAAAACAATTGGGAGAAGAAAGGAAGTAAAAGCTCCTAACCTCACTTAGAGAATAGGTGTAAAAATTCTAAATAAACATTAGCAAATCCTGGAAATGCAGAGATATTGAAATATCAGAAAACTTATTAAACTCACCATATCAAAAGAAACTACAAAAAAAAAAAATAGGATAATCTGGATGCAGAAAAAGCACCGGACAAAACTCGACACTCATTTGTGATTAAAACACACACACCAGGACTAAAGTCTGATAAATTATAACTATTGAAAATTAAGGGCTGGGAGCGGTGGTTCACACCTGTAATCCCAGCACTTTAGGAGGCTGAGGTGGGCAAATCACGAGGTCAGGAGTTTGAGACCAGCCTGACCAACATGGTGAAACCCCACCCCTACTAAAAATACAAAAATTAGCCAGGCGTGGCGGCACACACCTGTAATCCCAGCTACTCAGGAGGCTGAGGCAGGAGAATCGCTTGAACCCAGGAGGCAGAGGTGCAGTAAGCTGTGATTGTGCCACTGTACTCCAGCCTGGGTGACAGAGCAAGACACTGTCTCACAAAAAAAAAAAAGAAAAAGGAAATTAAAATAAACTTCATACTTAATGGAAAACCCTGGAAGCTTTTCTGTTAAAGTCAGGAATAAGACAATGCCATTCACCATCATGGTTTCCTTTCTGCACTGAATATATTATAACACAGTGAGGCAACAAAAAGAAATAAATAAATGAAATAAAGCCTCTAATCCCAGCACTTTGGAAGGCCGAGGTGGGAGGATCACTTGAGCTGAGGAGTTCAATACCAGCCTGGGCAATATAGCGAGACCCTACGTCTGCAAAAAATTAAGAAATTAGATGAGTGTGGTGGCACACACCTGTGGTCCCAGCTACTCAGGAGGCTGAAGAAGGAGGATCACTTGGGACCAGGAGATTGAGGCTTCAGTGAGTTATGACTGTCCCCCTGCACTCTGGCCTGGGTGACAGAGTGAGACCTTATCTCAGTTTTAAAAAAAAAAAAAAAAGGCTGGGAGCAGTGGTTCCTTCCTGTAATCCCAGCATTTTGAGAGGCTGAGGTGGGCAAATCACTTGAGGCTAGGAGTTTGAGACCAACCCCTCGACCAACATGGTGAAACCCCACCCCTACTAAAAATACAAAAATTAACCAGGCGTGGTGGCACATGCCTGTGATCCCAGCTACTTGGGAGGTTAAGGCATGAGAATCACTTGAACCCAGGAGGCAGAGGTTGTGGTGAGCCAAGAATGCACTATTGTACTCCAGCCTTGGGAAGGGAAGAGGGAAGGGAAAGTGGAGGGGAAGGAGAGGGGAAAGGGAAAGGGAAAACGAAGGGGGGGAATGGGAAAGGGAAGGGGAAAGGGAAAGGGAAAGGGAAGTGGAAAGGGAGAGGGAGAAGTGGGAGGGGGAGGGGGAGGGGAGAGGGAGAGGGAGAGGGACAGGGGGACGGGGAAGGGGAGGGGAGACGGGGAGAGGGGGAGAGGAGGAGAAGGGACGGGAGGAGAAGGGAGGGGAGGGGAAGGGAGGGGAGGGGGAGGTGACAGAAATGCAAGGGGGACAGAAAAGGGGAGGGGAAGGGGGAGGGGAAAGGAAGAAAAAAGAAAAAGAGGGAGGCGGAAAGGGAAGGAGGGGGAGTCGGGGGAGGGAAAGGAAAGGAAAGGAAAAGAAAGGAGAAAGGAAAAGAAAAAAAAAGAAAAGAGATTGCAAAGGAAGAAACGGCTGACATATTCATACATTATAATTGTCTACCCCTCCAATCAAGAAACTCTACAAACTATCAGAACTAATAAGACAGTTCAAGATCTAGTGATAAAAATTACCAATATTCTACAGTAACTAACTACTGAAGGGGTAAAGGATATGCCATCACAAAACATGCCAGATTGTTATACTGATGATTTCAAGTTGAAAACATTGGAGAAACTGTAGTTTCAGAACGGACGAGCTGAACTGTCTCTTCCTGCATGCACCAAGCAATAGAGAATCCTGTACGAGGGCTGCCCTCCCAGTACCAGGGCGAGAAAACAGCGCATATCACCAGAGCCGGAATCAAGCCTGCAATGGACTTGACTAAACATCATGAACAGAATAACTCTTACATTTCACCTGTTTTACCCCACCTCTAATACAACTTCTAGTGACTCCGCCAGAAAATTGACTGCCCTTTGCCATATTTTGTTTTGTTATTTCTGATCAAGTTTATCACTCTATCTAAAAAGTATAAAGATATGTTGCTTTGGCCACTTCTTTGGGCTTCACTGTCTTGTGAAGATCCCATGTACACATAAAACTAATAAAATTTATATACTTTTCTCATGTTAATCTGCCTGATGTCAATTTGGTTTCCAGATCCAGCCAAAGAGCCCGTTAAGAGCTAACAAGGAGGTTGGAGGTGATCTCTGGTTCCCTTACACTACAGTAAACGACAATAATCAGAAAATGTAATAAATACTTATGATTAAAATGGCTGATTGAAAACGGGCTGTTTATATCCATGCCCTCCTAAAACCCCATTAACAAAGCCACAAAGAAGAAAAAAGTAAGAGTTGACAATAAATGAGACATGTCAACATAATTTTGGACAATGGAAAACAAATGGATAAATGGCAAGGACTTAGCATAGATGAGTGAACAGAAACCTGTATGTCTTCTTGTATGACAAGAAATCAGCAGTTTATAATGCAGAAGCTCAGAAAGGCCCAGGAAGGCTCACAGCACAAAGTATCTATGAGGTAAAGACTTAAAAAGGAGGCTGGAGGAGAGCTTACAGATTCCTCCACACCCTCAGCAACTAAGTGACTGCCCTATCCCAATGGCAGAAAACAACGGGTTGACTCTCAAGGCAAACTAGTCCTGAGCTTCTGGACTCAGAGACACCTAGAGGACAGGTAACAAGCCATAATGAAAACAGGGCAATGAGGCAACTTGTTTACATACTGCAGATTAAGATCAGACCAATTTCCTTTTTCAGGAAGCTACTGCAGGGTGTGATCCAATAAAACAAGGGAGAAAACCAAGAAAAGGGGAAGACATGAGATCTAAGAAATGACCAAAAAGCAGACAAGAAAGAAAGAAATAGGATGATGGTGAAGGAAGATAAAGATGACAACTATTTATCAGACTTGAAGAGCAACAGACCAGAACAGAGCAAATAGATGCTTCTATTGAGATGAAAAAACAGACCTGATAGATTATTTTATGTGGTGATAGGTGACAGTACATGCGGAAGTTTGTTGTTTTTTCTGTTGTGTGTGTGTGTGTGTGTGTGTGTGTTTTGTTTTGTTTTGTTTTGTTTTGTTTTGGAGACAGGATCTCACTCTGTCACCTAGGCTGGAGTACAGTGGTGCAATCACAGCTCACTGCAGTCTCGATCTCCCAGGCTTGAGCAATCCTCCCACCTCAGGCTCCCCAGTAGCTGAAACTGCAGACGTGCACCACCATGCCTGGCTAATTTTTGTATTTTTAGTACAGATGGGGTTTTGCCATGTTGCTCAGGCTGCTCTCAAACTCCTGGGCTCAAGAGATCAACCTGCCTCAGCCTCCCAAAGTGGTGGGATTACAGGCATGAGTCACCGCACCTAGCCTGTGGAAGTTTTTAAAGGGCTAGTGAAGAGAGAAGAATTGGTGCAAGGGACAGAGAAAACCAAGTAAATAAAACCAATTGCTTTTGTTTTTATTTATTTGCTTTCTTGTTGTTGTTCCACCAAAGAAGTAGAAGGCAATCAGTAGCTCAGTTGTAATTTACACTGGCATAATAATATAAACACCAGACCCTGATATCACCATAGGACCACCATTGTGGGAGGTGAGGGAAGAGGTTATATATGGAGGAAAGGAAAAAGTAAAGTGTTGGTGGAAAAGCCAGGTCTAATCTTCTGCAATAAGAAGTTCAATAGACAGTGTGTAAAATTGGTAGGTAGGGGGATATACAACAGTATAAACATATCATTTAGAAAAAGGGCCAGGTGCAGCAGCTCATGCCTATAATCCCAGTGCTTCGGGAGGCCAAGGCGGGAGGACTGCTTGAGGCCAGGAGTTCAAGACCAGCCTGGGCCACATAGCAAAACCTCTATCTCTACAAAAAAAAATTTTTTTAATTAGCCAGGTGTGATGGTGCATTCCTGTAGTCCCAGCTACTTGGGAAGCTGAGGTGGGAAGATCGCTTGAGCAGAGAAAGAAGAGAAAGAAAGGAAAGTAATCAGATGATGGTGAAGAAAGATCAAGATGACAACTGTTCAGACTTGAAGAGCGACAGACCAAAGCAGAGGATGCAGTGAGCTATGATCACACCACTGGACTCCTGGCTGGGTGACACAGCAAACCCTTCTCTCTAAAATAACAAAAACCCCAAATGGAGATAAAGCCCCATTGTTACAAGTGGTGGACTCTGAGAAGCATTTGGGGTGGAGTATGGTAGGAGAATGCTCTTTTAAAACTCTATTACTTTGATAAAAATAAACATAAACACTGTAAACCGAAAATAAAATTCTAAGTCCTTCCAACTATCTGAATGGACATCCTCCTTGGCCAGGATACTCTAAAGTTTAACCTGAAAGACTGGTTCAGATCATGAAGGGAAATGGGGATCAGACATGCTTCATTACAACCCTCCAGCATTAACTTCAACACAGACCTTATGTCTGATAAGAAATACTTACAACCTATTCTCTCTGAAGCCTGCTACCTGGAGGCTTCATCTAAATGATGAAACTTTGGTCTCTTATTGCAACATTCCTTTCTATTGATAAGTCTTTCAATCAACTGCCAATTAGAAAAATTTTAGATCTACCTATAACCTGGAAACCCCAGCTTCAAGCTGTCCCACCTTTCTGGACCAAACCAATGTATATCTTAAATGTATTTGACTGATCATATCTCCCTAAAATGTATAAAAACTAAGCGGCGCCCTGACCACCTTGGCCACATGTTCTCAGGACCTCCTGAGGACTGTGACACGGTCATGGTCACTCATATTTAGCTCAGAATAAAACTCTTCAAATATTCGACAGAGTTTCACTCTTTTCATTGACAACATCAAATTTAAAGAAAAAAAATACACCACGCACAATGGCAACAAAACTATAAGTGAGCTATGAGTAAATATAACTAAAGAGTAAAAGACTTATATGGAGACAATGTAATGTACTGACTTTGGAGGTGTTTGAACCAGAGTGACTCCATCTTGTATAGAGGCTGGGTAAAAGATAAGTCTGAGACCTACTGGGCTGCACTCCTAGTAGATTTGGCATTCTAAGTCACAGGATGAGATAGGAGGTGGCCACAAGATACAGGTCATAAAGACCTTGTTGGTAGAACAGGCTGTGCCAAAGAAGCCGGCCAAAACCCACCAAAACCAAGATGGCAACAAAACTGACCTCTGGTCATCCTCGCTGCTCATTATACGCTAATTATAATGTATTAGCATGCTAAGAGACATTCCCACCAGCACCATGACAGTTGACAGATGCCAGGAAGTTACCCTATATGGTCTATAAAGGGGAGGAGCCCTCAGTTCCAGGAACTGCCCCCTGCCCCTGCCACCTTTCCTGGAAAATTCATGAATAATCCACCCCTTATTTGGCATATAATCAAGAAATAACCATAAAAATAGGCAACCAGCAGCCCTCAGAGCTGCTCTACCTATGAAGTAGCCATTCTTTCATTCCTTTACTTTCTTAATAAACTTGCTTTAGCTTTACTCCATGAACTCTCCCCAAATTCTTTCTTGCATAAGATCCAAGAACGCTGTCTTGGGGTCTGGTTCAGGACCCCTTTCCAGTAACACTGAGATACAATAAAGAAGATCTAGATCAATGGGAATATACAACTTGTTTCTAGATAGGAAGCCCAATATTACCAAGGAGATCTTTCTTCTCAAATTAATCTCAAAACGTAGTGCCATTTTAATGCAATAGTTGTTCATAGAACTCAAGGAGGTAATCCTAGAATTCACAGGAAATAGTCAAGGGCCAAGAACATCCAAGACAATTTTGAAGAAGAATGAGGACTTATTCCATCAGATAGTAAAACTTCTTGCAAAGTTACAATTAAAATAGTGAACAGATAGACAAATAGTCCAATGAAACCAGAAGAAAGACCCCAGCAACAGAACACACATTTATAAAAACATACAGCAAAGGTGGTCATCAAATCAGCGAGGTGAGAATAGAGGGATTTTTTAAAATAAGTAATAACAAGATGACAGGCTCCTCAGAAAAAGAGTACAATTGGGCTCTTGCCTTATAACAAACAATAAAAGGAAATTACAAATGGATCAAAGATCTCAACATCAAACAAAAATCTTTAAAACTTTCAGAAAAGTTAAGACCATATATGACCTCACCATAAGAGTTTTTTTTTTCTTGAGACGGAGTCTCGCTCTTGTTGCCTAGGCTGGAGTGCGATGGCGCGATCTCAGCTCACTGAAACCTTCCCCTCCCAGGTTCAAGCGATTCTCCTGCCTCAGCCTCCTGAGTAGCTGGGATTACAGGCATGTGCCACCACACCCAGCTAATTTTTGTATTTTTTTGTAGAGACGGGGTTTCACCATGTTGGTCAGGCTGGTCTCGAACTCCTGACCTTGTGATCCACCCGCCTCGGCCTCCCAAAGTGCTGGGATTACAGGTGTGAGCCACTGTGCCCAGCCAAGAGTTCTTAAATGAGGCATAAAAAGCAAAATCCCTAAAGTAATCGATTAATAAATTTGACTAGATTGCAACAAAAAAGTTTTGCATGACAAAATACATCATTAGAAAATGAAGCGGTAAAGCAATGACTGAAAGACTGCGAAATAGAAAAATGAGCAGAGAATGCACAGGAAACCCACAAGAGAGGAAATTCAAATGGTAAATAAACATTTGAAAACAGACACGACCTGACTAGCAATGAAGGAAATGCAAATGCAAGTTAAATCCAAGGTGTGGTATTTCACACCCTCGGATGGCAAAAATAAGAAGTCTGATGTGTTGGCAAGGCAAATGGAAATTCTGATACTCTGTGGGTGGCAGTCTGCATTTGCAAAACCTCTCAGAAAAACAATTTGACACTATTTAGGAAAGTCCAGATGTACATTCTCAGACCCAGATATTTTCCTTCTAGGTATATGGACCCAAGAAATACCCAGGCCGGTACACGAGGGGACAGGCATAAGGATAAGCATTACACCATTGCTTAGAATGACCTAAAGTGTCCACCAATGGAGATAAAGGTGGCCCATGCACATGCTAGAACAGTACGCAGCAGTTAAGATGAACTAGCTCTACATGCACCAACACGAAAAAAACTCAAAAACACATTGTGTGAAAAAAGTAAATTACCAAGGTATAAATATCGTATGGCACATCTCATGTAAGTTTCAAAACAAGACATTGCTAAACAGTATTTTGGATATACACACGTTAATAAAGATTTTAAACATGCTCATGGGAAACACATACCAACCCCAGAACAGTGGTTGCCTCCAGGAAGAGAAGGAAAGAAGGGAAAGGAATTGGAAGAACACACAGGATTTTTAATGTCAAATAATGTGTTATTTCTGACTGACATGTGGCCAATGTTAATACTTGTCAAATCCAGAGATGGTAATAAGCACATGAAAAATGTTCAGCATCATCAACCTTCAGGAAAATACAAGATAAAAGCACCATGGGAAACTACATCATACTCCCTAGAATGGCTAAAAGAATTTTTGTTAATGCTGGCAAGGAGGTAGAACAACAGAAGCTCATACGCTGCTGTGATGAGGAAATTGAAGCAGTGACTTCGGAAAATAGTTTTGCCATTTCTTATAAAGTTAAATGCATGCTTACCATATGATCCAGCAATTTCACTCCTACGTACTTATGCCAGAAAAGTGAAAATGTGTCCGAAAAACCTATACACAAATGTTCACAGCAGATTTATTCATAATAGCTAAATCATGGAAGCAACCTAAATGTCCATCAATTGACAAAAGGATAAGCAAATTGCAGTAAATTCAACTAATGGAATTCTCATTAGCAATAAAAAGGGGTGAACCATTGGTACAACAATGAGGATGAATGTCAGACATTATCCTGTGCAAAAGAAGCCACATTCAAGAGTACATACTGCATGACACATTTCTGTGAAACTCTAGAACAAACAAAACTAACCTAGAGGATAGAAATCAGATTCAGAAGTGACCTGGAGAGATGAGTGGGTACAGAGGAGAGAAACTGACTGCAAAGGGGCAAAGGAGAGCTTTCTGGGAAGATGTCTTACACACTGACTAATTCAAGTAGTGGTTGCAAGGGTGTATACATTTGTCAACTCATTGGCCTGTACGCATGTAATAAATTTCATGAGAAATTATAGCTCAGTAAAGTTGATTTTAAAAATACGAATGGCAGATACATTTGTTAACATCTCTGTAATTTTCTGTAGACTTAAATATTTTATTAAAAATTAAACAGACTTTAGGCCAGGTGTGATGGCTCATGCCTGTAATCCCAGCACTTGGGAGGCTGAGATGGGTGGATCACTTGAGGTCAGGAGATCAAGACCAGCGTGGCCAACATGGTAAAACCCTGTCTCTACTAAAAATACAAAAATTAGTTGGGTGTGGTGGTGCACGCCTGTAATCCCAGTGACTCGGTGATGCAGGATTTTTCTCGGTCCCTTTGCCAGTCAGGGACTTCTGGCTGGCGATGCCAGAGGCCTTGCCCAGGGCATGCTATCTGCCGCAGGAGGTGCCCTGCCCAGTTGGCCTTCCCAGGCCAAGTCTGGCTTGTGCACTGATTCCCAAGTTCTTGTCCCACATCCAAGAAGAATGAGGATGCACTGAACATTGAAGTGTGAGGAGGACAGAGAAGAATTTTATTGAATGATGAAACAGCTTTAAATACAGAGGGGACACAGGGGTGGTCCCCCTACCTGAAGGCAGGAAAGTCCCCCATGTGGCTGGGTCCAGGGCCTTTTATGGACTCAGAATGGGGAGTGCATGCTGATTGGTTTGTGAGTATGCAAAAAAGGTTAAAGCAAAGACACCACGCAGAAGTGGGCCTGGCAGTACAGAAAACCAATTAGGAAAGGGTAGGTATACATAAAATAGGTGAAGGGTAGGGATCAATCAGAGGAAAGCACACCAAACAGGAAGACAAGTTCTCAGTCTGGTCCAAGGATTTAAATGGTAGCTTGGCTTTCAGGATTTAAGCTGTCTTCGGCCTGGAGGTGAGGTTTCACAGGGACCTGCCCCTGCCTACCTAGGCATTGGCTGCCTCCTGCTGCTCTCACAGGGAGGCTGCGGCATGAGGATTGCTTAAACCTGGGTGGTGGAATTTGCAGTGAGGCAAGATCATGCCACTGCACTCCAGCCTGGGCAATAGAGCGAGACTCCATCTCAAAAAAATAAAAATAAATATAAACAGACTTTAAAAATATGGGTTATCAATGGCCTATATTGGTGGGGGCAGGAATTTTTAGGGGGAGAATAAAAAACTAAGGTGGTTTACAATGTTAATTCATTTCTTCCCAGTGGTAGAGTTGTCTATTTAATAATCATAGTGGTCCTATTAGAAGTCAAAGGGTCCGTTGAGATCAGCTGGTCCTGGCGTCTCTTTTTCAGAAAAGAGGCCCCAAGTGAGATTTGTCCAAGATCACTACAGCAGATACCTGTTATTTCAGCTGCCCAGTATCCCTTCCCTTTATCTTTTTTTTTGAGACAAAGTCTCGCTCTTGTCCCCCAGGCTGGAGTGCGATGGTGCAATCTCAGCTCACTGCAACCTCTGCTTCCCAGGTTCAAGTGATTCTCCTGCCTCAGCCTCCCAAGTAGCTGAGATTACAGGCACCTGCCACCACACCTGGCTAATATTTGTATTTTTAGTAGAGATGGGGTTTCACCATGTTGGCCAGGCTGGTCTTGAACTCCTGACCTCAGGTGATCCACGTGCCTCGGCCTCCCAAAATGCTGGGATTACAGGCGTGAGCCCCCGTGCCCGGCCCCTTTCCCTATATCTTAATAGCAGCCCGCTCTTTTTTAAGGGGATTCTCTCTCCCCTGCTGGGCACTTTCTCTGTAGGGCTATTAATCCAGGTGCCAGCTCTCCACAACAAACGCCAAGCGGTCCCCGGTGGCTCCTTCACAGGGTACAGGTGTGTGACCGATGGCCCCCTCAGGACACTTCGTGCTGATACTTTAAATTATGGGTAAGAGGAGCAAGAAAGGGATGCATGGAAGTCATCCATCCTGACCCACAGGCCTGACCATGCTGTTTTTGCTATAAGACTGTTCTTATTATTCCTACTTCCTGGCCTCACACTGCTGAGCACCTTGGTTTCTATCTGTTTTCAGGAGGTTTCCCCGGTCTCTGCCCAGTCTATAACCTTCCAGTGTCTTTGCAATAAATTCCACTTGGCTTACATCAGCCAGAATCAGTTTCTAATATTTATAATCAAAGAACCCTGAGTGACACATCACCCAACCAGCCCAAGGGAGACCAAGCCCACAGCCCAGAGTTCTGGAGTGTGGACACCTGTCCTTGGGAGTGTCAGCCACGAAGCCAACTTCTCAGGATCTCGATTTCCCCACCTCCATCCCCTAGGCCTGCTGGGAGACAGAATGAAAGAGGAACCATACCAGCCGGGCGCAGTGGCTCACGCCTGTAATCCCAGCACTTTGGGAGGCCGAGGCGGGCGGATCACGAGGTCAGGAGACTGAGACCATCCTGGCTAACACGGTGAAACCCCGTCTCTACTAAAAATACCAAAAAAAATAAAAATTAGCCAGGCATGGTGGCGGGCGCTTGTAGTCCCAGCTACTCAGGAGGCTGAGGCAGAAGGATGGCATGAACCCGGGAGGCAGAGCTTACAGTGAGCCAAGATCGTGCCACTGCACTCCAGCCTGGGCGACAGAGCGAGATTCCGTCTCAAAAAAAAAAAAAAAAAAGAAAGAAAGAAAGAAAGAAAGAGGAACCATCCCTTACTGAGTGATGTGACAAGCACTTTGACACATTTTAATTTAGTCCTTCCAACAGCCTAGTAACATAGGGATTATCCCAATTTACCTATGAAGACACTGACGCTGAGCAAGAAAAATGTTTTCCCAAGGTGGCAGAGCTCCTGAGTGACAGAGCCAGAATTGGAGCCAAATCTGTCTAACTTGAAAAAGCCTAGCTCTTGTCACTTCATCCTCCTGCCTCGCCTCAAGAAACAATCAGTCACTGAGACTTCAATGAGGTGTCAGAGGCATGACTGGATGTTGGCTGCACCTACAACATATTGAGGGGGGTCAACTGTGTACACTGAGCCAGGGCACCCACCCAGGCAGGCGCGACCATGAATGGGGGCGCAGAGGGTGGGGGTGAGGAGCAGCCTTGGTGCCTGAGGAATGGTGTAGGAAACATCCTTACCCTGGAGGAGTGGAAGTGAATTCTTTCTGCATTGAGATGAATACATGTTCGTGTTCCCATGGCAACAAAGCATGCTCACTGTTGTCCATACCTGGAACTGTGTGACTCATTTTTGGCAGTGCAGGAGTCCCGTCCACAGTCATTAGCTAATCAGCCTGGAATGTGTGCATGACAGCACTGATCATATCTGGGGAGATAAGCGGGGTCTATGAGTGTCCCCCTGCAACTCTGAAGGCCAGGATTATGTCTCCTTCATTTTCACCCGGCATTCCCGATCCTTGGCATGGTCTCTGTTACCGAACCATTGTTAAGGAATCTGGGTTTGTTCTGGGCTTCCTCAATCGGCAGAAAGAATGGTGACAGAGTTTGAGTGAAAGCCAAAGGTAGGGTAGGGAATGAAACATGGCATGAAAAGGGAAGAAATTGGGGTTGTACAAGCTGTTAAAATCACTAGGAACTGCTGGGAGGTGCAGAATTCTGATTTCAGACCAAAGCTTATTCATTAATACACCTTGAAGGGTGGCATGTGGAAGAAATAATTCTGGCAGATCCTGCCATGGGTCAGGTATAATCTCAGAGTGATTTGGTTCAGTCCTAGGCATTTCCAGGGAGGAGGAAGAGGAATCTTGGAAGAGACATTACTTAGCCACCAGCTCACGGGAACGCATCACAGATAATGATACTGGAGGGAGCTGAGGTCAGGGCAGAAGAGCCGTGTCATACAAGCCAAAGCAACCCCAGTGTCCCTACAAAAAGAGGGGGTCCAGAGGCTGCAAGGAGCCTATCAGATCAACCTAGAAAATCTTGAGTGGCTCCCCAGTTATGAAATAATGTCACAAACTTGACAAAGGACCTCTACTGGGCATCAGCAGAGACTGATCAGGGTCTGTGAAAACATGTGGTTCCCACTTAATTCCTTGGAAGGTGGTAAAGCTCTGGTGTGCATGGAGAAGACCCCAAAGGGACAATCCACCAGACCAGGAGACTGAGATCTCAGGGTGAGTTCAGCCTGAGCTCGCCGGGAGAGCTCTACACGCAAACTCACAAGAGCACATGGGTTCAGCTACCCCCACTTCTGCTAAGCAGGTAGCCCTCCCCACAATGACCAGATCACTGATAGAGAAGAACTGGCCCAGCATGTTTTCTGAGGCACACTCATGATCAACACCAACTCAGTAGCTCTTATCATCAAAGGCCTTCCTTAGGTGGGAGTATGGCATGTGTGTCCCAGGTGGACGATGAGCTTGTAAGCTCTTGGGACACAAAGGGCCAAGTTTCCTTGTCCACAGCAGCCAGCAGCCATGGTTGCATGCTGCAGACAGTCAATAAAGGTTCACTGAGTTCACTGATGAATGAAGAAAGGAAGGAAGGAGGCAGGGGAGGCTTTCTGGACAGTTTCCTCAAATGGTTTGCAAGCCTTCCTTACCACAGGGGACTGAAGCAGTAAGCGTCAGGGTTCCCCGAACACAGCCAGGACTGTTACCACTGAACTCTGAAAAGAAGGCTGCAATGGGGTCCTGGGGGAGATTGAACATTTCTGAACTCTTTATCATAGAGAAAAGGAAGCAGTGCTGAATTCCAAGGCCCTTCTCACTTCTAAAAATCCACAGGTCTCTCAGAATCCTCTAAGAAAGTAAGCGAAAATAAGGAAACTGTCTACAAAGTGGCATATTTGGAAGGAGGGGAGGGAGACCCCAAGAGCAGAGGAGTCAGCAGGGGAGCCTTTGGTGCCCCCATCCTCGCTCCAGCCAGGGAAGACCCACTTCACCTCAAATGTGCACTAGGGTGCTACACAATTTCAGTAAATAAAAGGGAAGAAGGGCTTGGGCTGCTTTAAAAAATATATGGATGCAGCCTGGCCAACATGGTGAAACCCTGTCTCTACTAAAAACACAAAAATTAGCCAGGCATGGTGGTGCATGCCTGTGATCCCAGCTACTCGGGAGGCTGAGGAAGGAGAGTCAGTTGAACCCAGGAGGCGGAGGTTGCAGTGAGCTGAGATTGCGCCACTGCACTCCAGCCGGGGCAACAGAGCGAGACTCTATCTCAATAATAATAATAATAATAATAATAATAATAATAATAAATATGTATATATGCATAAGGAGTGAGCTAGCACAACCCTGGCTCTGTTAGGGGTACCACTGGGACAGGCCATGGGTGACCTTAGGAGGGATAGAGGGGCAGGTACAAAACCCCAGGCAGCTGGCTGCCAACAACCATCATTTTTGGCTCTAACACTCCAATACTCTGAGCCTCCAGGCTGAGGCAATGAGGGGTTCAGGAAAAGGGGACTCGAGCATCCCAACATAAAGTTCCTTGGCCACTCTGACTCTTGTTAAATCTGTGCAGCCCGGGCAGGAGGGGCAGTTCCACGCAGCACTAATTGCCAAGCATCTTTTTACGAGGCTCAGCCATGACATCTAAATGGATTCAAGGTAAATCCTCACACAGCCTGGTGTCTTTAACAGGGAAATAAATCATCCCAATTATACAGGGCGAGCTGCCATGCTGTCTCTATTTCTGGAGCGGTTGCTTCCCATGCTGGAAGGGAGGGAAAATGCAATGTAGACAAAAAACCCAGGGAAGGGATGTCAAGTTCAAAGGGCCCATTTCAGAGCAGGGAAAAGCTAGGAGGAGAGGGGGGTTCAAGCTGAACCATAGCTTCTCTGAGACAAGCAGGATTTGAAAAGAGAATTAGGAGGCCGGGCATGGTGGCTCATGCCTGCAACCCCAGCACTTTGAGAGGCTGAGGCAGGCAGATCACCTGAGGTCAGGAGTTCGAGACCAGCCTGACCAATATGGCAAAACCCCATCTCTACTAAAAATACAAAAAAAATGAGCCAGGCATGGTGGCAGGTGCCTGTAATCCCAGCTACTCAGGAGACTGAGGCAGGAGAATCGCTTGAACCCAGGAGGCAGAGGTTGCAGTGAGCAGAGATCGTGTCATTGCACTCCAGCCTGGGCCACAGAGCAGACTCTGTCTCAAAAAAGAAAAAAAAGAAAGAAAAGAAAAGAAAAAAGAATTAGTGAAAGTTCCCATGCACTGTCTTCCCCCATCCAGTCACCCAGAGTGAAAAACTAAATGAAGACAAAATAACAGTAGAAAAAAAGATAAGGTCAGGGTGAACTGGAGACCTCTTCAATCCAATCCTCCAGCACAAAATGCAAGCCCGCAAATCTGGCATGGAGCTTTGCAGCCAGCACCAAAGGAGAAGTGTGCTTGGCTACATGGTCTGCAGTGTCCTCAAGATAAAATAAACCACCTGCTCCGGGCAAGCACAACCATTCCTGTGCTAACACCAAAAGAAATTCCTCCTACGGGTTCAGAGAAAGAGAACACAGTAAAAAAAAAAAAAAAGTATTTAAAGACCATGAGTTTCATAGTGCTGTTTATTTTAACCCCTAGTTTGAACTAAGTCCTTCAGAAGCATTCCATGGGTATCACATTCTGGCTACAGTTCCTACAACCTAGTTGTCAGTAAAGGCCCTGCTCACAGAAGGAGTAAAAATAAGAGAACCATCACACTTGGGGAGAAAGGTAAGGAGGAGAGGCAGTGCTTAGTGTAAAGAAGTCATTCCTTGTCTGTTATAACAGGAACCTGGTAGTTTCAAAGTTAATAAATCGAGAAACAACATACAATTGTTGTATTTAAAATTCTGGAGGCAACCACCAGGAGAACTAAAAGCAAACCCTTAGAAGTGTGACTGGAGGCCGGGTGCAGTGGCTCACACCTCTAATCCCAGCACTTTGGGAGGCCAAGGCAGGTAGGTCACTTGAGGCCGGGAGTTCGAGACCAGCCCGGCCAACATGGTGAAACCCTGCCTCTACTAAAAATACGAAAAATTAGCCAGGCATGGTGGCGAGTGCCTGTAATCCCAGCTACTCGGGAGGCTGAGACAGGAGAATGGCTTGAACCCGGGAGGCAGAGGTTGCAGTGAGCCGAGATCGTGCCACTGCACTACAGCCTCGGCAATAGAGAGAGACTCCGTCTCCAAAAAAAAAAAAAGCAGCATGGCTGGAAAGGGGAGGAGTGAGGTGTGAGTGTGCTGTTTTGCATTCTAAGTCCTTCAGTACAATTTGATTTTGGTTTTAACGATGGACATTTTATTCCTTTCGCTTAAAATAAAAACTAAGGCTTTTCAGTTTACAGCATGGAAAATGAGGAAAGAACACACACCAGGATGCAATGTAAATGAGAGTATGTGTTACAGGAATAACCTTGAGTTTGTCCTGATTTATACACAAAAGGAGATCTCTCACAAACTTCAGAATTAGTAAGAACAGATCTCTGCAACACACCTCACAGCCGACAGAGACACAAGCATACTACACCGTCAGAATGGGAAACTGCAAATCTAAACGGCTCTTTAAAATCCTGAACTCTTTCAAACTCCATCATGCTAGCCCTCTCTGCAGCTCACTCGTGGCTTTCAGAGCCTGGCAGAGAGGGAAAAATTCAGGTTGTGGTGTTGCAAAAAAACACCTGCTTTCCCTCAATGCCAGTGCATTTCACAAATGACATCAATTTCATGCCAGGGCATGAAATCACTGAAGCCAGTTAACATCCTCAGTTTTTGGATGAGGACGTGGAGTGCCCAGATAGGGAGTGACTAGCCCAAAGTCTCAAAACGACGGGATGGCAACCTCAGAACATGATTACTCCAAGTCCAATCCAGCACTCCTTCCACCACATCAGTGTGTGTTCTGAACACTTCGACATGCTGGAGAGCCGCTTGAAAAGTGGGGTTCCACTGTCAAATGTGGATGAAACCAAGCCAAGAAGGCTTTTCTCTCCCCACAGGACTCTCAGAGGCAATGATGGAACCCATCCTGACTCCCAACCCTTCTCACCGCCTCTCTCCTCCACCCCTACCAAGGGCCACGCACAGCCCAGGGCTCCTGCTCCCCTCAATGCTCTCCCTGCTTTTATTGTGGCCATGTTTTACCTCCCATTCATCCTCTACCCAGCAGCCAGAGTGATCCTTCCAAAAAGACCCATTAAAAATCTAGCACAACAGGAAACTCCACAGAGACAGAAAGCAGATGGGTGGTTGTCAGGGGCTGAGTGGCTGGGGACTGACTGCTTAATGAGCATGAGGTCTCCTTTGGGGATGATGAAAATGTTTGGAATGAGAGAGAAGTAACGGTTGTACAACATTGTGAATGTACCAAATGCCACCGAACTGTTTACTTTAGAGTGGTGACTTTTTTGGGTTTTGTTTGTTTGTTTGGGACGGAGTCTTGCTCTGTCCCCAGGCTAGAGCACGGTGGTGGGATCTCAGCTCACTGCAACCTCCGCCTCCCAGGTTAAAGCGATTCTCTTGCCTCAGCCTCCCGAGTAGCTGGGACTACGGGTGCCCACCACCACACCCAGCTAATTTTTGTATTTTTAGTAGAGATGGGGCTTCACTATATTGGCCAGGATAGTCTCGATCTCTTGACCTCGTGAGCTGCCTGCCTCGGTCTCCCAAAGTGCTAGGATTACAGGTGTGAGCCACCACGCCCAGCTGGGGTTTTGTTTTTGAGACAGAGTCTAGCTGTGTCACCCAGGCTGGAGTGCAGTGACACCATCTCGGCTCACTGCAGCCGCGACCTCCTGGACTCAAGTGATCCTCCCACTTCAGCCTCCTGAGTAGCAGGGACTGCAGGCACATGCCACCATATCTGGCTAAGTTTTGTAATTTTTTTGTAGAGAGAGGGTTTTGCCATGTTTGCCCAGGCTGGTCTCAAACTCCTGGGATCCATCCAGCCATCATGAAACTTTTTGTGTCATAAAATTTTGTCTCAATTTAAAAAAAAAAAAATGTGCCCTGACTAAAACATCTTCAGTGGACACCCACCTTCCTCAAAGTAAAATCCCATGTCTATAGTGGCCTAAACAGTCTCCCCCGTTTCTCCCCCTATTCCAGACACAATGGCCTCCTCTGAGTCCTCACACAGGCCAAGTCGGTGTCCACCTCTCTGACTTCGCACATGTATTCTCTCTCTCTCTGGAACATTCTTTCCTCCGACACCTACAAGGCTGCTCCCTCATTTCATTCAAGTCTTTGCTCAAATGTTACCAACCCAAGACTGTCCCTGCCAACCGCATCTAAAATACCATCTCCTGCCACCCTTTGCTCTGAGAGAGGAAAACAGTACACTACTAGCCTGATATTTTGTTATACAGTTAGTGGCTTTTAGTGGTCTGCTTTCCCCAGCAGAATCTAAACAGTGAGGGCAGGGACTGTGTTAGAAATGGCCAGCACCCAAAATAGAGCCTGACACACAACTGCTGTTCAATAGAAACAGGTTAAATGAATGAATGTCCATGCAGATGTTCCCTAAGGTTCAAAGTTATTTGTCCAGGGATATTTTTTCCCCAAGGGACATCTTGGCAGGTGAGCGTTCAACAGGTTGACTTTGACAAGTGCTTGCTGCATTAGTTTCATATGACTGCTGTAACAATCACAAACCTCTTGGCTTCAACCCACATGTTTTCTCTTACAATATTCTGAGGTCAGAAGTCCAAAACCAAGTCAAAAATCAAGGTGTCAGGAGGGCCACGCCCCCCTTGGAGGCTCTAGGGGAAAATTGTTCCTTGTCTCTTCCAGATTCTCTGGTAGCTGCCAGCATTCCTTGGCTTGTGGTTGCATCACCCTGATCTTTGTCTCCATGGTCACATCACCTTCTCCTCTGTATGTGTTGGCAAAATCTCCCTCTCTCTCTCAGAGGCACAGTTGTGATTGCATTTAGGACCCACCCAGATAATCCAAAATAACCTCCTAGTCCCCAAATCCTTAACTTAACCACATCTGCAAAATCCGTCTTGCCATATAAGGTAAGTTCACAGACTCTAAGGATAAGGACCTGAATATCTGTAGGAGCCAGTCTTTAGTCCACCATACTCGCTAACTGTGCTGCTGCTCACTTATGTCAATGTCGTTGCTGTGTTTTAGGGTTTTAGGAAAGGGTTCGGGAGACTGTGCTCTAGTCCCAATGCTACACAACCTTGGACAAGACCAACCCCTTGTCAAGCCCCCACTATCTCACCTTTATAAGGAAGCTGTTGCTTCTATGAGTCCATTCATATCTAATATCCTGAGCCTTTATATTGAGTTTTTTAAAAGGCTGAAAAGCAGCTGGGCATGGTGGCTCACGCCTGTAATCCCAGCACTTTGGGAGGCGGGCAGATCACAAGGTCAACAGATTGAGACCATCCTGGCTAACATGGTAAAACCCAGTCTCTACTAAACATACAAAAATTAGCTGGGCATGGTGGCACACGCCTGAGTCCCAGCTACTCAGGAGGCTGAAGCAGGAGAATCGCTTGAACCCAGGAGGCAGAGGTTGCAGTGAGCCAAGATCAGCCTGGCAACAGAGTGAGACTCCGTCTCAAAAAAAAAAAAAAAAAAAAAGCTGAAAAGCTTGCTGAGGGCTTAAAACAAGAATCAAAATCAGGAGCTCCCATGGAAAGAGGGGCCAAAAGCTTCCCTCCCACCACCTGCAATCCTACGAACAGTTGTTATGCGGGGAAAAAATCAAATACCTACAATCCTGCTATGAGTATTTCACGAAATTTATTCTTAATACAGTTGACATTAGACTCTATGTTCAGCTGACCCCATTTTTTTCACTGAACACTACTACGTATTTCATCTACTATGTATTTCATCTACTACTACGTATTTCAATACGTGTTATTGAAACCTCTCATTTTAAATCCTTTGCTGGTTAGCCACTCCCAAGAAATCAGACATGGCTCAGCACCCTCTCAGGAGACAGCCATCAAGGTCCCCTTCTGGCATAAGAAGCAAAGATGTGGGAACTTCCTTAACCCATGGACTAAGTGATGGGTACATCAAATCAGCTTGCAAATAGGGGACAACTCTTTGCTGCTTATCCCTCTTCCTCAGCACAGACCTATGGCAGCTGCCATGAACCTAAGGAATACGACCAATGGTCCATGGGTTACAGACTGCTAATCGCTAACCTAAGGCAAAGACCCCAAGATCAGCAGCTTGCAGGCCCCAGGCACTCAGCAAGCCCTGGCAGTTAGCTGAGCAGCTGTGCCCTGTGTGGTACCCACTTACTTAGCAGAGAGAAAACACCTGGTATCTCCCTGAATGCACAGCTGGGTCATTCCTGAAGGATATGAGCTCAGCTGCCAGCTGTCAGGACCTCACAGTCACAGTATCAACACAAGAGTTAAAAGAATACAGGTCATAAGGCCAGAGCTCCAGGTCCCTTCCACTGCCTACCTCTGTCCTTAGGCGAGCCATGGGAACTCTCTGGATATTTCTTTTTCTTTTTCTTTTTTTTCTTTTTTTTGAGACAGAGTCTTGCTCTGTAGCACAGGCTGTAGTGCAGCGGCGCGATCTCGGCTCACTGCAACCTCCGCCTCCTGGATTCAAGCAATTCTCCTGCCTCAGACTCCCAAGTAGCTGAGACCACAGACACGCGCCACCACGCCTGACTAATTTTTTGTATTTTTAGTAGAGACAGGGTTTCACCGTGTTAGCCAGGATAGTCTCGATCTCCTGACCTCATGATCCGCCCGCCTCGGCCTCCCAAAGTGCTGGGATTACAGGTGTGAGCCACCGCGCCCGGCCACTCTCTGGATCTTTAAAACAGTGATGCTAAAAACCTGCCTCACGAGGGGATTAACAGAATTTAATAAAACAGTAAGTCTTTGTAACCACCATTCAGGCAGAGCAAGAAGATACAGTTTATCATCCCGTCTTTTAACAACCTTCTCACTGCCTTACTCTCCCTTCATTTCCATTTCTGTCATCCGCAATATGATTTCCACCCCTCAGCACTCAACTGGATGGCCTCCAGATCGCCACATGCAATCTTTCCACGCGGCCTTTAACAAAAAGGGCTCTGGAACCAGATGGCCTAGGTTCAAGTCCCAGCTGCACAACTTCCTGTGCCTAGGTTTCCTCACGCATTGACAATGATAATAGGACCCTCCTTACAGGGCTCTTATGGACGCTGAATGTGCCAAGAAGTGTAAATTACACCTGGCACATAGGAAGGTATATTGGTATTCCCTGAAATCTATTTTCTAAACTTTGATTAGACAACATAATATACACAAAAATTGCATAACACATAAATGTGTAGCATAATAAAGTAAACTCCATGAAGCTTTCTGAGTGTCCCTTCCTGATCTGACCATTCTTTATTCCAGAAGGAACTGCTATCCCAAATTCTCCAGAAATCACTGGGCCCTCGAACTCCTGGGCTCAAGTGATCCTGCCAAAGTGCTGAGATTACAGGCGTGAGTCACCACGGCTGGCCTGTGGCAGTGGAATTTATAGACAATAAAATTCATCCTTTGAAGGTCCAGTTTGATGACAAATGTGTAAGTTTCTCAGATCTTGGCCGCAGTGGCTCATGCCTGTAATCCCAGCATTTTCGGAGGCTGAGGCGGGCGGATCACAAGGTCAGGAGATCGAGACCATCCTGGCCAACATGGTGAAACCCTGTCTCTTCCAAAAATACAAAAATTAGCTGGGCATGGTGGTGCATGCCTGTAATCCCAGCTACTCGGGAGGCTAAGGCAGGAGAGTCAGAGGTTGCAGTGAGCTGAGATCATGCCACTGCACTCCAGCCTGGTGACAGAGCGAGACTCCATCTCAAAAAAAAAAAAAAAAATAAGGTTCTCAGATCTTAACACCTCTGCCCGTGTGCTCCATCCCCTACAAACAGCACAAACCTCTTTAACCCAGTCCTTTCCCTTCCTTTGCAGAATGACGTGTTCTCTGAAGTCACTGATCCACCTTCCTGTTCCTCCTCATTCCTCAACCTGGCTGTGCCCATTGCGGGTATGTTCCTTGGGGCTCCATCCCTGGTCCTGCTTTCTCCCCCACAGCATTCTCTTGCCAGGTTCATCTGCTCCCTCAGCAGCGTCTCTGCAGATCACTCCCAAGTCTGCGCCAAGGCCCCAACTTGTCTGATAAAGCACACTCAGTCTGAGAATCACAGGCCACTGACACCTCAAATTCAGGATATGCAAAGGCAAATTCTGTTTGCCCCAACCAGTCTCTGCCACATATATATATATTTTCTATGTTATAGTCCCTAGAAGCCAAACCAAAATCAGACTTTTCAATTTATCAAATTCCCTACAGTCAACCACTTCCCAAATCCCCTGTACTCAACTGCCAAGATCTCTCCAAGTTTTTTCTGTGCCTCCAAATGCCTCCCCTCTTCTGTTTGCCAGGGGAGGGTGTCCTCACTCAAAATAACTTCTAATGGGCCCTACAGGCAAAATCCAAGCACAAGTCCTTCAGGGAGCTTCCATGTTGTGGTAAGCCAATGAGGAATCTGTCACTTGGGCCTGCATACCCCACAGTGGCCTTCTTCCAAGGATGGCACTCCATTTTCCTGTGGGGAGCCACACTTCTCCATTCTCAGGTATGGACAGCACTACCCACCCAACAGACCCAGGCCTAAGGCCATCACCCAGTCAATTCAGAACCAGCACCTGGTTCTGACAAGCCACTCCATTTCATGGGGCTTCATCTTATGGAAAAGGAGCTGTCTTTTGCCAATGGTCTCAGCGCAGGGAGGATACCAGTCTGGAGCTGCCAGCTTCCAACGTGCAGCTCAAGTGAGAAAGCGCACATCCTGACATCTTTGGATCCTGTAGCCACAGAACCTACGGATCCACGAGTGGCGTCCAAAACACGCCCTTCTTGGCTTAAGCCATACTGGGCTGGTTTTCTAGCCTTTGCAATAGAAAGGGTCCCATCCGAGGCTGCAATTTCCTTCCTTCCCTCATCATCTCACCATCCCCTCACCCTGCAGCTATGCCAGACATTTTCTAAATCAAAAACACAACAAATACCCCAAAAAACTTTTCAAGCCAGCTGCCTTATTTAATTCCCAAGCATTCCTCTGATGTCTCTGTGCCTTTGCCCACGCCGATCTCTGGCGCTGGGCTGCCTTCCCTCTCTAGTCTTGGGGAATCCTACTCCTCTGTAAGGCCTCCTCACCTTCCTCTCCCTTCTCTGAGCCCCCATAACATTCTGAATACATTTACTACAGTTCCCTGCTTAAACTCGGCTCTTCCAACAAGACCGCAAGCTCCTATGGCAGTGGTCAGGGCCCACTCACAACATCTCTGCATTAACCCAGAAGGTGACTCAAAAAATACTTGCTTGACTGAATGGGAGGAAGATGGCAGAGCAGAAGAGAGACTCCCCGGATGGGGTTACTCAGTCTCTCGGGGCTCTGCCAGGTATAGATCTTACACACAGCCACATTCCCAGGGTGACGAGAGGAACCGGGGCACACAGCTCACCTCCAAAAAAGCAGGGCGAGCAGGACACACTGGACACACAAATCAGGTGAAGCAGGTGCAGCAGCTCTTGCAGGGCACAAGCACAAAGCCCTGGCCTCCATGAGATCCCTTCCAGGCTGCTGAGTTTTTCACATTTTTACAAACTCAGGACCTCAGAGCCGTAATAACCCATGTGGGCTCTGTGCTTCTATCGGAATCCGCAGGCAGGTATGGCAGGCACGACAGGTACACACTAGGCAACCTCTGCCCTCGCTCTGGGTCAGGGGGTGGGTGGTAAAAAATGTACACTGGGGGCCAGGCACGGTGGCTCACCCCTGTAATCCCAGCACTTTGGGAGGCCGAGGCGGGCAGATCACCTGAAGTCAGGAGTTCGAGACCAGCCTGGCCAACATAGCGAAACCCCGTCTCTACTAAAAATATAAAAATTAGCCACAGGTGGTGGCAGGCGACTGTAATCCCAGCTATTTGGGAGGCTGAGACAGGAGAATCACTTGAACCCAGGAGGCAGAGGTCGCAATGAGCCAAGATCGTGCCACTGCACTCCAGCCCGGGTGACAGAGCAAGACTCCATCTCAAAAAAAAAAAAAAAAGTGTACATTGGGACTCGCCTCCTTGTGCCCAAGAGACCCTGGGGTGTCCCCAAACTTCTGTGCCACTCCATGCCCCCATTCACCTTATGCCACCCTTTTCTTCTCTCCAGGAGACTCTTGGGCACCCAGAGCACATGGAATAAAGAGTGAGCTGGAGCCGCGGGCTACAAGGGGTAGGGACAGCTGTGGGGACCTCCCTCTAGGACTAGCCTGGCCAGGAGAGCAGGAGGTGGCTTCCCCAGCTGCTGCCAAAAGACACCTCCAGCCACAACTCTCCACTCACCCCATGCAGCCAGGGCTGCCCACTGCTGTCTTCCACGCTGTCCTGTAGTGGCTGCTTTTGCCCAGATCTCTCCATCCACCACAAAATGAACCTAACGAGGATGCAGGGTGATGAGGTGATGAGGTGGTTCAGGCTCCAAGCAAGAAAGAAGCCTTTGTTTGCCAAAGGTGGGTCAGACCTTCTTGTCCCAGTGGCCGAGACAGCAGAGGAAGAGTGTAAAGTGGGATTATATGCTACAATAGGTATGACAGGAGCTACAAGGATTGGCTCAGAGCCATGGGAAGTGGGCATATCCCTAGCCAGGCACTCTCCTTCAGAACACAGATAAAACAGGTGGCCGGGCGCGGTGGCTGATGCCTGTAATCCCAGCACTTTGGGAGGCTGAGATGGGCGGATCACGAGGTCAGGAGATCCAGACCATCCTGGCTAACACGGTGAAGCCCTGTCTCTACTAAAAATACAAAAAATTAGCCGGGTGTGGTGGCGGGCACCTGTAGTCCCAGCTACTTGGGAGGCTGAGGCAGAATGGCGTGAACCCGGTAGGCGGAGCTTGCAGTGAGCCAAGATCGTGCCACTGCACTCCAGCCTGGATGACAGAGCGAGACTCCATCTCAAAAAAAGAAAATAAAAAAAGAATGCAGATAACACAGGTTAGATGAAGGGCAGAGTTGTGGCCATGGGCATGGAGGTGAGAGATGGGTACCGAATGTCAGCTCTCCATTAGCTAGTAGCAGGACTTTCTCTAAGCCCTGTCTCCTTATGCTTGTGAAATAGGCCTGCTGGATTTAATAATCTATCTCAGAGGCCCCTTCCAGTAATAAGCCTGTGAGTCATCAGAAAATGCATGGAGAGGTGGAGACACACCCATCCAAACCCTCCCTCTGCCCACCCATTTACCAAACAGCGCCTGTTCCACCAGCCCACTGCTAAGCTTAGGGTGCATTCCTGGGGAGCCCTCCCCAAAACAGGTTCCACATGGCCCTGTGAGGCTTCTACCACAGACGCCGAAAGAGGCAGATCTGCCTGCAGCAGGGTACAACCAGAGCAGGCAGGGACTTTGCAAATCTTTCTGGCCGGTGAAAAGTTTAAACACCGTCATGCTGTTAAGTGATCCGAGAGCAGCATCTTTCCACCGCCCTGGAGTGGTTCTGGCAGGGCACCCTGCACTGGGGGTGCCGAAAGTGAAGAATGAATTACATTGCTTAATTTCTCCTCCAATGTACTTTTTTTTGGACGGCGGGGGAGTGGAGACATTCCACACAATAGGAAAGAGACCCATCCTGGGCAAGGCATAGCCAGATATAACAATGCAAATGTGTGTACATATACAACTCTTCATTTTGAAAGGGAAGCTGAATCTCTGTGACTTTTGCAAGATTAGTCACCCTGGGTGCAGCACCTAAGTGTCCCAGTCCTTAGGTGCCCTCTGCCCTGGCCTTCTCCCCAAGGTATACCCTCTCACCAACCTAATATATTCAAAACCTAAGAGTGTAATTCGTTACCTTTCTTCCAAATTCACTTAAGACTTAAGACTGTGTCAATCTCTAAAAGCATATAACAGGGACAGTGGACAGTGGAAGGCCAGAACACTCTTCTGTCCTAATGGGTTCAAGAAATATTCTTAGCTTCTTAGACCAGTTCCCTTAGCACCTACATAGAAGATCAGGAATGGAAAGAGACAAGAAAAGAGGAGGTTGAGATCCATCTATTATCCTCCTTATTAGGAGTTTAAAGGCTCCGAAAGAGGAAATGAAAACTTTGGGTTAAAAGAAGACTCAGTGGAATTATTCGGATTTAAAATATAATTGAACTGAACAATTGATACACGGCTCTTTACATCCTTGACTTTTTGTGGTTGATTTCATTATATTTCTAGCTCAACCTGCAACCTTATCTCCTATTTAGCACAGATGATCAAAAACATGTTGCCGGACACTCAAAGAAATGATCTGTATCTGTTCATCTTGATTTCCTCAGCATCTTTTTCTCCCTTTGTGTGGATTCAGGCACATGGACTCACACAAAGTTCAGCACAGAATGCCACTTCCCAGAGGTCTCCTCTCTGCCCTCTATTCCTTCAGGTCTCTACAACTTCTCTAACACTAACCATCCTGCTTCCATCTCTGCCTGAGAGCTAGACCGGATCTCTCAAATCCCATCCAGGTGAGAGCAAGGATTCCATCACTACCATATCTTACCAGTTACCATTGTGGGTAGACATCCATTCTCCTCCCTCAGGTATCAGCTGACTTGCATTTGCTCCCTTCTCAGCCCAGGTGGTGAGGATGGGGCTGATCCACCTCCCAACCCCCCCATCCAGGCTCCATCTGAAAGCTGCTAGGTGACTTTCCTGGTTTTTTTCCCCTCTTTGGAATTACGAAGTTTTTAGAATCAGAAAGACTCTAAAGTCTTTAGAATCAGAAAGTTTTTAGAGTCAGAAAGATTCTAAAAACTTCATAATTCCAAAGCGGGATAAAAAGGGTTTTCTGAGAAGATTGCTAAGCTAGAAAATGAAGCTAAAACAGAGGGATGCAAAGCCTAGAGATGGAGATTTCTGATGACACTGCCTTTGCTTCTTCTATTGGTTATTTACTGGGTGTAACAAATTTGCCCAAAAATTAGCGACTTAAAACAACAGTCATTTGGCCACGTGCAGTGGCTCATGCCTGTAATCCCAGCTACTCGGAAGGCTGAGGCAGGAGGATCACTTGAGCCCAGGAGGTCCAGACCAGTCTAAGCAACATAGCAAGACCCCATCTCAAAAACAAAAAAAACCAAATATGGTCACTTATGGATTCAGTTTCTGGGGAGCAGGTATCCACGCATGGTTTTCCCAGACCCCGAGCCTTACCCAGGGTCTCTCCCAAGGCTACAATCAAGATGTCAGCCAGGGCTGTAGTCACCATAAGTCTCAATCAGAGGAGAATCTGCTTCCAAACTCATTCATGTTGAGGCTGTTGAGGCATTTGTTAGTTTCTTGCCACATGCGTCTCTCCCTAGGACAGCCAACCAGCAAGCAGGCAAGAGAAAACAAGCATGGCGGAAGCCACGGCCATTTTGTTACCTGCTCTCAGGAGTGACATTCTGTCATATCTATTGTTAGAAGCAAGTTACTGTGTCCCGCCCACACTCAAGGGGAAGGGATTACACAAGAGTGACCAGGAGGCAGGGAGCACAGAAAGCCATCTTAGAGGCCACCTAACACATCTCTAGAACAGGCGGTACCTACAGCCACACGCCTGTGGGCTTTTCATTCATGAGGGCCAATAAATCCCTGCACCCCACACTCTGTGACTGTCGCTCAGCTGGTTTGACTTGGGCTGCTACCACTTAAAACCCAGGGTCCCTCGGACTTTACCACAACTCCTTGTTACAGTCATGGCTGACTCTTCCAGGCACTCCCTCTCATTGGTTAAAGAGAAGCATTAGCCCCTGACTTCTATCACTGTTCCCACCATGCGTTTTGGCAAAGGGATGCCAGGACCCATCTAAGTTGGCTTCTCAGTTTTTCACGCTCTTTGTGCTTCTGCCCTGGTTCTTGGCCAGGCTGCCTGGTACATGGGGCCCTGCCCTCTGCCTGTCTTCTATGAAATTTTCTAAGGGGTCTGGGACCAGCAGAGACTGGCAGAACCATCTAAGCAACTCCCTCCCCAAATAGTGCCCATGCATAAGGTAATCCAGACACCCCAAGGAGCTCTGAACAGTGGGCCTATAGGGTCATTGTTTAGCTCAGAGATTGTGGTATTATATTAATACATTTTTTTTCAAGGAAGAAAACAAACCAGATCTAAGCTGAATGAGTTTTGAAAACGCACTGAAAGAAATCTGATTGATCTAGAAGGAAGAAAAGAAAGAGTGCCCGTAAAAAAAAAAAAAAAAAAAAAAAAAAGAATCTTCCCCATTGTTGACCACTGAGATTCAGCCTTCTAATTCAGAGGGGAGCACAAGGTGACCCCTGAATTATGCTACACCAATTCAGCTGAAATTAAGGGTAATTTGTACAAAGAGTCTGGAATTTTCAAGGAGAACTAATTCCTACTGTCCCAGCCATGAAAATCAGAGTTTCCAGCATAGTAGTCTAATCTCTTAGTCGGCTAGCTGACTAAGTATTTCTTTGGTGGGACTACGCAAGGTTGGGCAGCTAGAATGGCCTCCGCATGCTGATTTTGAGTGACCCACATTGCTTACATAGACAAGTGCCCACACGTTCTAGGGGCAGCCCTGCCTCCACACCACCTTGGCTACCTATTCCAGTGGTCATCCCCTGACCTGGTATTTTAAATCCAGACTTCTCAAGCCTGGATGAGCATCTGAATTACCAGAGGAGATTTTTTAAAGTAGGGTACCCAGGACACACTCTATACCAATTAATTCACAACCTCCATCAAAATCAAAATACCCAGGCCCTGTTTTTTTTTTTTGGTTTGGTTTCCGGGTCTTTATGTTCCCCAGATAATTCCAACATTGACAAGACCCATTTTAAACGGAGAGCCACAAATCCCAAACAGGCACTCAACTCTTGCTTACTCTGCCCCAAATGAATGTTCAATAGGCGAGTAATTAGGCATATCCTGGACACATTTTAGGAAACTGTCTCTTCCTAAACTTCCCATTGAGGAAGGGCTGTGGAATCTCGATCCTCAGAGTGGGATCCAGGGAGGCACCAGCAGCATTCCTGTCGCCTAGAAGCTTGTTAGAAATGCAGAATCTGCATTTTAACAAACCCTGACCGGACGTAGTGGCTCACACCTGTAATCCCAGCATTTTGGGAGGCCGAGGTGGGCAGATTGCTAAGAGCCCAGGAGTTTGAGACCAGCCTGGGCAATATGGCAAAACCCCTCCTCTAAAAAAATTAGCCAGGCGTGGTGGTGCACACTTGTGGTCCTAGCTACTCAGGAGGCTAAGGTGGGAGAATCACCTGAGCCTGGGGAGTAGAGGCTGCAGTGAGAGCTGTGACTGTAACACTGTACTCCATCCAGTCTGGGTGATAGGTTAAGACCCTGTCTCAAACAAACCAACCAACCAACCCCCATGTAGTTGGTTTGCACATTTAAATTTGAGAAGCACAGCTCATGCCATCTAGCGACCCTACTCTAGCTGCCCAGTGAGACTGTTTTCCATTTTCCAAAACAACGATTTCATTTCTCAGATGATGGGAAATGTTTTCTCTCACACTTCACTTAGAAAGATAGGAACAACCCGGCCAGGCGCGATGGCTCCCACCTGTAATCCCAGCACTTTGGGAGGCCGAGGTGGGCGGATCACCTGAGGTCAGGAGTTCAAGACCAGCCTGGCCAACATGGAGAAACCCCGTCTCTACCAAAAATACAAAAATTAGCTGGGTGTGGTGGCACATGCCTGTAATCCCGGCTACTAGGGAGGCTGAGGCAGGAGAACTGCTTGAACCTGGGAGGCAGAGGTTGCAGTGAGCCAAGATCTCACCATTGCACTCCAGCCTGGGTGACACAGCAAGACTGCATCTCAAAAAATCTCAAAAAAAAAAAAAAAGAAGCAAACCCATAGAACCCATAGTAGCTGCTCATCAACCCACAGCCCAAATTCATCCTATCCTACCCACATCAGAGCCCACGCTCGCAGCCTTCCCTCCCACAACAGTAACTCCTCCTACCAAAGGCAACTTACCTGCTTTCTACCGATCAGCACATAATACCTACCTTTAAATTTAAAAAATTAAAGATAAATATATCCTTTGACCCCAGTTCTCCATTCCTTTATTCATTTCCTTCTCCTAACAGAAAAAATTTTCACCAAAAATGTTGCCTGTAGTCACGGCTTCGAATCTTTTACCTCTAATTCCCTCCTTCCCACTCCACTGAGCCTACTCTCCACAATGTCACCAGTGACCTCCATGTTGTCACCAAATCCAAGGGCATCTGTCTCTCTTCTAGAGTCGTTGGCCAGCCAGCAACATTCAATGTCCCCTTTTTCCAGAAACCATGACTGCTCTGGGCTCCCATGACATCTCATGGGTTTTCTCAAGTAGTCACCTTTTTGGATCATCCTCTGTGTGTTCTTAAATGTCACAGTGCCCAGAGCTCACTCCTGCCCCACCTCTTTTCTATCTACTCACTCCCTGTAGTGGCCTGACCCTGTTCCATAGCTTCAGACATTCTCTATTCCCAATGACTCTAAATTAATATCTCTAGCCCTGACCTGTCCCAGCTCTCCAGACCCATGGCCACCTGGCTACCTATCATCCCTATGCTGATGCTCAGGAGGAATCTAACGAATCTAATGACTCATTTTCTTCACTTCCAAAAACAAAACTAGACCTGCTCTCCATAACTCATTTTAATAAATGGTACCACCATCTATCATCCTGTTGCTTACACCCCAAAATCTAGGATTCTCAAGTCCACACACCTTCCACATCCAATTCCTCTCACCTATCAGTTCTATCTCTAAAACATCCTGATCCATCCACATTTTCCTTCTCCACTGCTGCCATGCTGTTCCCTACATTATTACGATGATCTTCTTGTTCCACTTTTCATCCCCTCCAATTCATTCTCACATTGCAGCCAGAGGGAACTTATAAAACATCCATCAAATTATGTCAGCCTTGTAACTAAAATCATCCCAAGGCTTTGCACTACTCCTAGAAAAACCAACCCAAACCATTTACCCTAATTCATAAAGCAATAAAGCCTGCCTCTGACTACCTCACCTTACACTGTTTTCTGCTCTTCCCCTCCAGCCACCCTGACCTTCTAGCTCTGTGCTGTCCAATGCAGGAGACTCTGGCCACATACGGCTATTTAAAGTTAAAATTAAATTAATTGAAACTCAAATAGAATGCAAACATGCCATGCGTATTCCTACCCGACGCCGTTGGTAAGGCGTCTCCCTCTGCTTGGAGCACCTGCCCTGCTTTTAGGGGGAAGCCACACCTTCTCTTGCCTTCCAGGTGTGGTGTGGCTCAGGTGGTGGCTCCTCCACAAACACCGGCCCCTCCTCTGATCTTCTCCAGCACCTGCCTGCAGCCCAGCTTTGACTCTTATTCAAACTCAAATAAAATTCAGTTCCTTGGTCTCACTAGCCATTTTGCAAGTGCTCAGCGGTCCCATGTGACTAGTGGCTACCATGTTAGATGGTACAGGCCTAGAGCATCCCTGTCCCTGCAGAAATTTCTATTGGACTGTGCTGTTCTAGCATTCCCAGGATGAGGCAGGTCTGATCTTGCATGACACTTTTGCACTTGCTGTCACCTCTGCCTGGAATGCTGTTCCCCTTCCCCTCCCTGTGGCCAGCTGCTTCTTGTCATCCAGACAACAGTTTAAGCGTCACCGCTCCAGAGAGGCCTTCCCTAAGCTCCCAATCCAAAGAAGCCACCCACTTCCTCCCAATCGCATGAGCCCGTGTAACTGCAGAGCACGTATCACTAGCTCATGCCTTTCTTGTTTGCGTCTGTCAGCTTATTCCCCAACTCTACCCCACCTCTCCACCCCAAAGTATACTCGTGAGATCAGGGACCTGGGTAGTCTTACTCACCACTGCATTCCAGCTCCTCCTCCTGCATCTGCCCGATGACTCTGCTCAGTAAGTGTTAGTGGACTGCCAGACCTTGCCATGTTCGTATTTCCTCTCGAGTCTCTCACAACCATCACCTTCTCATCATTATCCCTGCCACCACCCAGGCGGGGCCTTTATCCTCTCCTCCTGGGCAGTACTATAAACAGAATCCTACCTCTGCCCTCCAGTCAACCCTGCAAACATTAGCACGTTACTCCTACTAACATTCCTCTTGTCATATCAACTCCCGGTTCCTCCATCTTCTGGTCCCAAATAGCCTCCACATCCCCAAAAGTGCCATGCGTATTCCTACCTCGGTGCTGCTGGTAAGGCCTCTCCCTCTGCTTGGAGCACCTGCCCTGCTTCTCAGGGAAGGCCACACCTTCTCTTACCTTCCAGGTGTGGCTCGGGTGGCGGCTCCTCCGCAGACACCGGCCCCTCCTCTGATCTTCTCCAGCACCTGTCTGCAGCCCAGCTTTGGCTCTTACTCAAGAAGTCTCACATCCCATGTGCAGGCACACAGATAATCCCCAAGACCATGTCTAAAATTCAACAGTCTCAAACTTTGCTGAGGATCAGAATCACCGGGAGAGCTAATGAAGAACACACAGGTCCAGGCTCACGGAAGCAGGATAGAGTCTGAATCTCTGTACTTTTTCCACCTTCCTTAGGAGATTTGAGATTTGCATCTTTAGAGCATTAGACCTTCAACATGAATAGCTCAACCTCTCTTCATCCTCGCTCCCACCCACACACCCTTCCCAGCCTCTAGTTAAAGATCACTTAACCAATTCCAGCAACTCAGAACTCCTGGGGAGTGACCGACTTGGCGAATAACGTCCTCTCACACAAACCTGCTCTTCTTCAATTATTAAAAGATACCCGCTGTGGTAGGCTTGAAAGTGCCCCCCCCCCCAAATATATTAATATCTTAATCACCAGAACCTGTGAATGTTACCTTATATGGCAAAAGGGACTTTGTAGGGCATGACTGACTTAAGGATTTTGAGGTGGGGGAGTTATTCTGGATTATCTGGGTAGGTTCTAAATGCAATCACAGGGTCTAAGAGGAAGACAAGGTCAAAGAAGAAAGAGGCTGATGCCACAGTCCCACTGGACTGTGGTAAGGTGGTTCCTTACACCAAGGTGGAAACAGGCGCCAAGGAAGGAGTTCAAGAGGATGAAAACAGGAAGGAACAGATTCTCCTTGGAGCTTCCAGAAGGACCAGCCCTGCCGACACCTTAATTTTTAGCCTTGTAAAACTCATTTCAGACTTTGGATCCTTAGAACTATGAGTAAATAAATGCATTTTAAGTCACTGCATTTGTGGCATTCGTTACAGCAGCAATGGGAAACTAACACACTTCCTCTTACATAACACTACAAGGTGAAGTTCTACTTTGTCTGTCTTGCTGGGCCTCCATTAACCTTTATAGGAACGGCCCCAGGTTCAAGAGGCCAAAGACGAGACACAGAGCCAGCCAATGAGACACAGGGTTTTATCAGCTGGAAACTTACATACAGAGTGGTCCAGTGGTGGCAGGCTGGGAAGGAGAAGTAGCTTATATACAGTCCAGTGGTGGCGGGCTGGGCAGGAGAACTGCCTTACACACAGTCCAGTGGTGGCGGGCTGGGCAGGAGAACTACCTTACACATAGTCCAGTGGCAGGCTGAGCAGGGGAACCACCTTACACACAGTCCAGTGGTGGTGAGCTGGTTAGGGAAACCGCCTTACACACAGTCCAGTGGGGGGCTGGGCAGGAGAACCGCCTTACACAGTCCAGTGGTGGTGGGCTGGGCAGGAGAACTACCTTACACACAGTCCAGTGGTGGCAGGCTGAGCAGGGGAACCACCTTACACACAGTCCACTGGTGGTGAGCTGGTTAGGGAAACCGCCTTACACACAGTCCAGTGAGGGGCTGGGCAGGAGAACCGCCTTACACACAGTCCAGTAGGGGACTGGGTAGGAGAACCACCTTACACACAGTCCAGTAGGGGACTGGGCAGGGGAACTGCCTTACACAGTCCAGTGGTGGTGGGCTGGTTAGGGAAACCGCCTTACACACAGTCCAGTGGGAGCTGGGCAGGAGAACCACCTTACACACAGTCCCAGTGGGGGACTGGGCAAGAGAATCACTTTACCACAGTCCAGTGGAGGGCTTGGCAGGGGAACCACCTTACCATAGTCCAGAGGGGGTCTGGGCAAGAGAATCACTGTACCACAGTCCAGTGGCGGGCTGGGCTGGAGAACCACATGGCCCAGCGTGGCCAGCTAGGCAGGAGAACTGCAAGCACTTGCCTGAAGCATGCAGTTTATAGAGCATTTTTGCTTTGCATCCTCTCCCTAACAACCTCCACCTGGCAACCTTCATTTAACCCAAAAGAAAGGGCCTTGGTCCTCCATATGGCCTGTGTTCCACTGGACGGGCCAAGGGCTCAGATGTTTCTCATAGGTAAGGAATGAATCTCTGAGTTGGCCACTGCCTGATTCTTTAGCATGGAAATCCACACACACATTCTGGTGCATCTACCACACAGGGTCGTTCTCAGGGTATGCTTAACTTATTGCTGTCAAGTGTGTCTACCATGCACTGTGATTTTCTATTTAATGCATGCCCCAGTGAGCATTTTCTTTGAGCATCATATAGTCCTGAAAAAGTTTCAGATTTTGGAGGATCTGTCTTTGTATTTAGCTCAGATATTTAAAAATTGCACTGCAGAGTAACCAGATAGCATGACGTTCATATAAAAACAGGCACGTAGACCAATGGAACAGAATAGAGAATCCAGAAATAAATCCATGTATTTACAGCCAACTGAGTTTCAACAAAAGCACCAAGAATACACATTGAGGAAAGGACAGTCTCTTCAATCAGGGGTGTTGAGGAAACTGGATATCCATACGTAGAGGAATAAAACTGGACCCCTATCTCTCACCATATACAAAAATCAACTCAAGATGGATTAAAGACTTAAACTAAGGCTCGAAACTATAAAACTACTAGAAAGAACACTTCAGGACATTGGTCTAGGCAAAGATTTTACAGTTAAGACCTCAAAAGCACAGACAACAAAACCAAAAATAGACAAATGGGCCCATATTAAACTAAAAAGGTTTTACAAAGCAAAGGAAACAGTCAACAAAGTGGAAAGACAATCTATTGAATGGGAGAGAATATTTGAAAACTATTTATCTGATGAGGGACTAATAGCCAGAATATACAAGGAACTCAACAGCAAAAAAAATTTAAAAAAATAAAAATAAATAAAAATAAAATAACCATTAAAAAGTAGGCAAAGGGCATGAATAGACATTCTCAACAGAAGACATACAAATTGCTAACAGGCATATAAAAAAATACCCAACATCACTAATCACCAGGGAAATTCAAATTAAAACCACAACGAGCTATCATCTTACGCCAGAGTTAGAACGGGTATGCCTGGCTTATTTAACTTAAGGTAACATAATAACCTCCAGTTCCATTCATGTTGCTGCTAATGACAGCCGTTAGAACAGCTATCATTAAAAAGATAAAAAATATCATTAAAAAGATAAAAAATAACAGATACTGCCAAGGATGAGGAAAGATGGGATCTCTTGTACACTACTGGTGGGAATGCAAATTGGTACAGCCACTGGGGAAACCAGTACAGAGACTTCTCAGAAAACTAAAAATAGAACAACCATACCATCCAGCAATCCCACTGCTGGGTATTTATCCAAACAAAAAGAAATCAGGATATCAAAAGACATCAGGCCAGGAGCAGTGGCTCACGCCTGTAATTCCAACACTTTGGGAGGCCAAGGCAGGTGGATCACCTGAGATCAGGAGTTCAAGACCAGCCTGGCCAACATAGCAAAACTCCGTCTCTACTTAAAAATACAAAAACAGGGCCAGGCGCGGTGGTACACGCCTGTAATCCCAGCACTTTGGGAGGCAGAGGCGGGTGGATCATGAGGTCAGGAGTTTGAGACCAGCCTGGCCAACGTGGTAAAACCCCCTCTGTACTAAAAATACAAAAATCAGCTGGGCGTGGTGGTGGGCGCCTGTAATCCCAGCTATTCGGGAGGATGAGGCAGGAGAATCACTTGAACCCGGGAGGTGGAGGTTGCAGTGAGCCGAGATTGTGCCATTGCACTTCAGCCTGGGCGACACAGCAAGGCTCCGTCTCAAAAAAAAAAAAAAAAAAAAGATATCAAAGAGATACCTGTACTCACACGTTTACTGCAGCATGATTCACAATAGCAAAATTATGGAATCAACCTAAGTGTCCATCAATGGACAAGTGGATAAAAAAATGCGGTATATATACACCGTGGAATTCTATTCAGCATGAAAAAGAAAGAAATCATGTCATTAGCAGCAACATGAACGGAACTGGAGGTTATTATGTTAAGTTAAATAAGCCAGGCATAGAAAGACAAAGATCAGTGTTCTCACTGATATGTAGGAGCTAAAAAAGTTGCTCTCGTGGAGATGAGAGTAGATAGTTAACTAGAGGCTAGGAAGGGTGTGTGGGAAAGAGGGGGGATGAAGAGAGTTTGGTTAAGGGGTACAAACATACAGTTAGACAGAAGATATAAGTTCTTTTCTTTTTTTTTAAGACGGAGTCTCGCTGTGACACCCAGGCTGAAGTGCAATGGCGCAATCTTGGCTCACGGCAACCTCCGTCTCCCGGGTTCAACCAATTCTCCTGTCTAAGCCTCAGCCTCCCAAGTAGTTGGGACTACAGGTGCATGTCACCACGTCTGGCTGATTTTTGTATTTTTAGTAGAGACGGTGTTTCACCATATTGGTCAGGCTGGTCTCGAACTCCTGACCTCAAGTGATCTGCCCGCCTCAGCCTCCCAAAGTGCTGGGATTACAGGCATGAGCCACTGCGCCCAGCCAGAAGATACAAGTTCTAAAGTTGGATAGCAGAGCAGAGGGATTATAGTTAGCAACAATATATCACACATTTTGAAACAGCTAGAAGAATGTTTGTTCCCAACACACAGCAATGACTGACGCTAAGGTTATGGATACCCCAAATACCCTGACTTATCAATTATTATACATTCTATACATGCAACCAAATATCACATCTACCCCATAAATATGTAAAACATTACGCGTCGATTAAAAAGTAAAATAACACAAGATGCTCTATTTAGACAGGGCTAGTTTGCTTTGGTGTCCACAACTTGTAGGTCAGTAACTGCTGTGTACATCTATGGATATCAAAAGTCCTTAAGGGGGCCGGGTGTCTTGGCTGGCACCTGTAATCCTAGCAGTTTGGGAGGCTGAGATGGGAGGATCCTTTGAGGTCAGGAGTTCGAGACCAGCCTGGTCAACATGGTGAAACCCCGTCTCTACTAAAAATACAGAAATGGCCAGGCGCAATGGCTCACGCCTGTAATCCCACAACTTTGGGAGGCCGAGGTGGGCGGATGATGGGTAAGGAGATTGAGACAATGTTGGATAACACAGTGAAACCCCGTCTCTATTAAAAATACAAAATAATAGCCAGGCGTGGTGTCGTGCACCTGTAGTCTCAGCTACTTGGGAGGCTGAGGCAGGAGAATGGCATGAACCCGGGAGGCGGACGTTGCAGTGAGCCAAGACTGTGCCACTGCACTCCAGCCTGGGTGACAGAGTGAGACTCTGTCTCAAAAAAACAAACAAACAAACAAACAAAAAACCAGAAATATACTTGGGAGGCTGAGGCAGGAGAATCGCTTGAACCCAGGAGGCAGAGGGTACAGTGAGCCGAGATCACGCCACTGCACTCCAGCCTGGAGACAGGGCAAGACTCCGTCTCTAAATAAATAAATAAGTCTTTAAGGGAGGCCTATATTCCAAGGGAATTGCGACCCTCCTTGGTGGGTCTGGCAGCCTAACCCCAATTGTGTTTCCAATAGGCGAAATTCGGGAGTTCCAAAATTGGACCAGGTCATGGGGCCTGGATACCCTGATGAAGAACTGCTGCCGTGTTTCGACTTGAGGAAACCTAGACCAGATACACTCTGCTTCTTAGACTCTTATTTTCATGCTAAAAGCATACAGTTTAGACCTGTGCTCTCCCATATGGTAGTCAGTGGACACATACAGCCCCTCAATATAAATTAATCCAAATGAAAGAACCACTTCCGCAGTTGCACCAGCCACATGTTAGTGGCTACCGTACTGGGCGTCACAAAAGTAGAACATTGCCATCCTCAGAGAGTTCTACTGGGCTGTGCTGCCTGAGGGCATCTCTCCAGGCATTCTTTGCTACAGCTTCACCTCCAGCTCCCTGACTTAGAAAAGCCTGGGAGCAGAGAAATGCTGTCACTGCATCCAATTCCACCGTGGATGCATCCTCGAGCACGTGACCGAAGACACACAGCGAGGGATGCTTTCCAGGGGTGTTTGCCCACGTGTGGGGCTTTTCACTGAAAAGACTCTATCTTTGGAAAGGGAGAGGCAGAAGACACAGAACACTGGAAAACAAGAGGAAGACTCAGGCAGGAGCAAGGTAGGGCAGATGGAGATGAGAGAGAGGAGGGAAGTAGGAAAAGATAATAGGAGTAGCATGTAGAAAATGGAGTCTAGCCGGGCGCGGTGTCTCACGCCTGTAATCCCAGCACTTTCAGAGGCTGAGGTGGGTGGATCACCTGAGGTGAGGAGTTCGAGACCAGCCTGACCAACATGGAGAAACCCCAACTCTACTAAAAATACAAAATTAGCCGGGCATGGTGGCACATGCCTGTAATCCCAGCTACTCAGGAGGCTGAATTCAGCAGGAGAATTGCTTGAACCTGGGAGGCAGAGGTTGTGGTGAGCTGAGATCATACCAGTGCACTCCAGCCTGGGCCATGAGAGTGAAACTGCATCTCAAAAACAAACAAAGAAAAGAAAAAAGAAAGAAAGAAAGAGAGAAAGAGAAAGAAAGAAAAGAAAAGAGAGAGAAAAGGAAGAAAGAGGGAAGGAAGGAAAGAAAGAAAAGAAAAGAAAAAAAGAAAAAGAAAAGAGAAAAGAGAGTCCAGTAGTGTCATCACAAGTAGAAAATTCAAGTGTTGCAAAGGATTCTTTCCCTTAAGATCTATATGTAAAACAACCGACTGGCCTGCAGAGAGGCTAGACCAAGTCCACCCAACGATCTGCAAGACAGAGGGTCCTCTGAGGGTCCACTCCCTATGGCCCAGGGAAGCAGAGAGGGACCCCATCCACTCACTGCCTGCATGGGAGGCTGCAATAGAGTGGGGGAGCCATGGGAGAGAAATTCAACAGAAAGTAAAGACAAACTTTTCCAAGCAGAAATTAAAAAAAAATCTGAAAGTGCACGATGCTGGCAAGGCTATGGGAAAGCAGGCACTCCTACTCGCTGCTAGCAGAAGTGTAAGCTAGAACAGTCTTGTTAGAGGCAATCTGGCCCTTTCTGTCAAAACTACAAACACATATATTCTTTGTTCCAACCTTTCAACCTCAGAAACTTGCCCTTCAGAGACCCTCACCCACGTGCAGAATGATGGATATACGAGGCTATCCACAGCAGCAACAGGTAAAGGTAACAGAGAAAGATTAGAAGCAACCTTTATGCCCATTGGTGAAATGAGTGGGGCAGGCATTAAACAGGAGGAGGAAGCTCTTCCTATTGACTAAACTCCAAGATATGTTATATGATTTAACAAAAAGCATCAGTAGCACCAGCAAGGTGCAGAAGTATAGAGGGGATACCTGTGTTCAGAAAACCACAGAGATCGCATTTTTCCGCCCCCTACAACTTGTGCCTCTCACTTCCCGACACACGGTTTCCTGGGTTAAGGAAAATAAAATGAAACATATTTGGAAATTCCTGGACTACTTCTGGAAGTACCCACAAGAAACTGATCACTTGTTTGCCACTCGGGAAGGGAACTGATAGGTTGAGGACAGGGATGGGAAGGAGACCAACTTTTCACTCTACGTTTTTTGTACCTTTCAGATATCAGACCTGAGCATATATTACCTATTTGATAAGTATAAAATTAACAGATATACTTTTGGGTATACATACTGACCAAACATACTTCTGTCTCTTTTGTTTCTCAAGATAGGGTCTTGCTATCTTGCCCAGGCTGGAGTGCAGTGGTGTGATCACAGCTCACTGCAGCCTCAACCTCCCGGGCTCAAGTGATCTTCCTGCCTCAGCCTCCCGAGTAGCTGGGGCTACAGGCATGCACCACCACGCCTGGCTAATCTTTTTTTTTCTTTCATTATTTTTTGTAGAGATGGGGGTCTCCCTATGTTGCGCAGGCTGATCTCAAACTCCTGGGCTCAAGAAATCCTCCTGCCTCAGCCTCTTAAAGTGCTGAGATTACAGGCATGAGCCACCATGCACTTTTCCGTCAATGCTACAGTCTCACTGGGAAGGAAGCCAGTGCCTGCCAGGTGAGTGGGCCCAGGTTACCAGAGCACACAGCCCTGTGCTCCCAAGATGCAACAGGCCCCTCGTTGTGCCCTGCCCTGCAATCTGGTTCTTCAGAAGAGGAGTTCCCAAATACCTGGTCCTCTGCAAATCTGAGCTGTAAACAAGCCTTGGAAAGGTCCTCCCCTTACCTAAATCCCAGCTTCAGGGTCCCGTTTCTGACTGGGGTGCCACCACCAAAGGCAGGGTATACACAGCCACCGAGTGATCCTCTGCCTGCTTCTCACTCCAGGGAAGAAAATCAAAGCAGGTCCCATGGCTGCCGTCTGATAATCACTATGGACACCACACACCAGCCAGCATCAGGGCTGTGTCCAATTAGCCACCCCCATAACAACACCATAGCAACAAAGGTAATATTATTGTTCTAAAGAGAAGAGAAAAACCACACACACACACACACACACACACACACACACACACTGTGTTGTGTGACAGCTTTGAAAGCCACAGAGATCGCATTTTTCCACACCCTAGAACTTGTGCCTCTCACTTCCCGACACACAGTTTCCTCAATGAGAAGTCACAGGCTTGGGGCAATCTCCTCTTCACGCCATTCCAAGATGCGTGTCCTTCACAGGAAACTGGCATGAGAATGATTCTCTGGCAAGCCAGGAGTCAGGGCTGCCTCCTCGCTCTGCCTCTGTGGCTGGCAGGGCTGGGCCAGCTGCAGACCAACAGGCTGGGGGTCATGCTCCAAGCTGTCCTCTGTCTGTCTGTCTGTCTGGCTGGCTGGCTGGCTGCCTCTCTGTGCCAGACCCAAGCTGGCACTGGGGTTTTGGTGGTTGCATCAATGAGCCACACGCTAATCTCCAGACCTAAATGTGGAAAGCATTAACCCAAATGAAAAGACATAAATTAGGACGGGGGCTTATGGGATGGAGGAAAACAGCTCTTCTCTGAGCGAGAGCCTGGGCTGTTGCACAAGAGCTGAGTGAGTCACCAGCCAGCAGAGGGAAGGACCAGGGACGGAAGGAGGGAGGGGAGCCCCCCGTGGGACTGGCGGGTGCACAGGCGGGGGGAACGCTGCAAAAACACAGCTGTAGGTTCATAACTAAGCACACTTCATCAGCAGTCTGAAGGAGGGTGGGGGGCAAAGTGTCACCTCCTCCCCAACTCAGGAAGTGTTGCAACACGTGTCCTCCCCAGAGAAGACAGCAGAAAGAAGTGTTCCTAACTGTTCACCCTTTACAGGCTGCAGCTGTGCCCCGGGGAAGCACACCTCAGCACAGAGAAGGCCTCTCTCATCCCTCCTTGCCCCTTCTTGGCAGTGTCCATACACTTGGGGGTCCCCTAGCATGAGGTGTCCATTGTGGGCACACAACTCTTGCCCATACTTATTACCATTTCTTGTCTTTTCTTCCTTTCCTTTTTCCAAACTCCCCATCCTCCATACTACTGTTGTTAACAACAAGACAAATCCTTTGGTCTCCCCCGCCCCTAGTCCCTGGGGAGAACCTTATACCTTCCCTTAAAACCGTGCCCCACTCACCAACCTCCCCAGCCATGACAGATTCCAAAGCTCCAATATCCAGGCAAATTCTTAGTACCTTCTACGAGTGAGGCACGCTGTCCCTGGGGGTGGCAGTGGAGAGAAGGAGCTCTCCCAAACAGATCATCCAACCAGGACTTCTGAGACTTAGAAGCCCTAGAAATTTGCTCAGCACCTTGGTGGGACCCCTCACCTCTCCAGATCATCATCAAAATGAGGTTGGGTTGGCCGGCCATGGTGGCTCACGACTGTAATCCCAGCACTTTGGGAAGACAAGGGAAGTGAATCATTTGAAGTCAGGAGTTCAAGACCAGCCTGGCCAACATGGCCAAACCCCATCTCTACTAAAAGTACAAAAATTAGCCGAGTGTGGTGGCGTGTGCCTGTGGTCCCAGCTACTCAGGAGGCTGAGGCAGGAGAAGAATTGCTTGAACCCAGGAGGCGGAGGTTGCAGTGAGCTGAGATTGTACCACTGCACTCCAGCCTAGGGGACAGAGTGAGACTCTTGCCTCAAAAAAAAAAAAATGTTGGGTTTAGAGATCAGCTGGGTCCCTTAGACTCTGACAGTGCTCATCTGTAAGAAATGCATGGAACAAAATGAATACTCTCCAGAGTACCTGGCTGCTGCAGGGCTTACCCCGGGGAATGCAAGCTGAAGAAGAGTGCCCTGGGCTGAGCGGGTCTCTGCAACTGGCCGGGCTGCTCACAGCCACTGGGTGCTCAGGAAAGGTGACCAGCAGATAGCACCAGCCGCATCCTGCCAGGGAAGTCACTTACAGGAGAGCTCTTGCGGGTAGGGAGTGGGTCTGAAGTGGACTTAGAGGGCAGCTGGCAGAGACAATGGGAAGAGAAGGTATTCCAGACCAAGGAATCATTCATTCATATTCATTCATTTATTTATTCGACACAGGTTTCTTGAACACCTCTTATACACCAGACGCAGGTTTCGACACTGGGATACATCAGTTAACAAGACAAAGATCCATGCCTCAGGGAGCTTACATTCTAGCAGGGGAGATACACAACCCACAACAAGCCAGACAGACAGGTCAATGATCCAGTTTTGCTGGAAGGTGATAAATGATGAGGGGGGGAAAAGAAAAAACAGAGCAAAGGGGTGGACCTGCCAGAGTGAGTGAGAGACTGAAAGGAGATAAAGAGGTCTATTCATATCCTGAGGCTGCTGTAACAAATTCCCATACACTAACGGGCTTCAAACAATGAAAATTTATTATCTTACAGTTCTGGAGGTCAAAAGTCTGAAACAGGTTTCACAGGGCTAAAGTCAAGATGTCTGCAGGGCTGGCTGGTTCCTCCTGGAGGCTCTAGGAGAGAATCCATTTCTTTGCCTTTCTCAGCTTCTGGAGCCCACCCACTTTCCCTGGCTTTCGGCCCCTTCCTCTCGTCACTCAGCCTCTTGCTTCCAACATCACATCTCCTAACACTGATTCTGGCCCTCCTGCCTCCCTCTCATAAGGACCCTTGGCTTACACTGGGCCCACGTGGATAATCCAGGATTATCTCCCCATCTCCGGTTCTCAACTTAATCACAACTGCAAAATCCCATCTGCCACAGAAGGTAACATATTCACAGGCTCCAGAGATTAGAAGGTAGACATCTTCAGGGGACCATTACTCAGCCCCCACAGGGAGTTGGGCTGCAAAGGCCCTGATGAGGAAGCATGCCTGGAACATTTAAAGAAACACCACGGAAGGCGGAGGACAGAGGCAGGAGTGACACAGGAGTGAGACCAACGGGGAGGAGCAGGTGCTGAGGTCAGGACAGCAATGGGGACCCAATTATGTAGCACCTCATCAGCCACTGTAGGGCTTCCGCGTCTTCACTCTGCCGACATGGGGCACCACTGGACTGTGGTAAGCAGAAGCACGATGTGTTCAGACCCTTCCTGTGAAAACAACAGACTAGGGACCAGCAGAGCAGCCAGGAGGCGCCTGCAACAGCCCGGCAGCATTGTGGTGGCAGCTGTGGCTCAGTCCAAGGCTACAGTGGTAGGGTGGTGAGAAGTGATCCTGTGTTTAAAGATCTGTTTTGCAAGAAGGGCCAACCTGCATTCTCAACATGCTGAATGTGGAATGTGAGAAAAAAAGGGGAGTCAAGGTTTTTGCCTCCAGCGGCTGGAAGGACAAACTAGCCATTTACTGAGCTGTGAGAAGCCACTGTAGCCCAGACCTGGGCTAGGCAACTGCGTCCTGGACAGGACAAGTGGAGATGTCAAGGACACAGCTGGACCTACTTGGGTCTGCACTTTTCCCCGAGGGTAACAGGCAGCACCAGGACCCTGTTGCTCTCCAGGGCGTGGAGACAGCCAAGACCATCCCGGATTACATTTCTAAGTCAGTCACTCGTTGCAAGACAAGATGATAGAGATGGAGTAAACAGGGATATCGCCTGAGCCCTCGGTTTCTCAGCCAGGTATTTTTCCGCTTCTCACAGCGCATAAGGTGGGAAGGAAGTCATGGGAGCACAGCTGGATTCTGGAATGCAGCCCAACCACAGGCTCAAAATCCTCATCTGTGAACAGCTCCACTCACTACCTGGTCAGCCTCTCCGGCCTGCCCTGGGGGCCCTCACTGCCCTGCCAGTCAATTCCAAAAAGCCCTCGTGGGCTGGGCGCAGTGGCTCACGCCTGTAATCCCAACACTTTGGGAGGCCAAGGCTGGTGGATCCCTTGAGGTCCGGAGTTTGAGGCCAGCCTGGCCAACACGGTAAAACCCCGTCTCTACTAAAAATACAAAAATTAGCCAGGTGTGATGGAGGTAGTCCCAGCTACCCTGGGGGCTGAGGCAGGAGAATCATTTGAACCCAGGAGGCGGAGGTTACAGTGAGCTGAGATTGCGCCATTGCACTCCAGCCTGGGGGACAGAGTGAGACTCTGTCTCCAAAAAAAAAAAAAAAAAAAAAAGCCCTTGTGTATCTCTGGGCTGTCTTAACTTATCAGGGGGGTGGTCCTACCCCCGGGGCCCAGTTAACCATGAGGACCAAGCAGGCCCAGCGCAGGTGGCCAGCCTGTGCAGCACCTCCCAGAGGAGGCAAGTGTTCCCCTCCCACTGGACACCAGCACAACGTACACATGCCACATGGTGACATGCACTGTAAGAGGATTCTTACATCTGTCCCCAGGGACAGATGGCACTGCTGAGTGCCTTCCGGGCACTTTCAGCCATTCATTCATTTGACAAATACTTATGGAGCATATACCATGCACCAGGCGCTGTTTCTAAGTATCTGGGGGCACATCAATGAAAAAAGCAGAAGGGAAATAAACCCTTGCTTTCCTGGAGTGACGGCTCCAGCATGAGGTGGGAATGGGTTGCGGGGAGCAGACACTAAACACAATAAAAAAGTGAATTCTAAAGAATGTCAGAAGGTGATCGGGGGAATAGAACATGGTAAAGGGAATCAGGAGTTCAGGGTAGACTGGAGTGTGGGTGGCAATTTTAGAGAGTTCAAGATGTTACCCTTGCTAAAGATCTTTCTAGCTCTTCTGCTCACTGTATTGATTTATTCCTTCATTAAGTAGTTACTGAGTGCTCACCGTGGGCCTGGCCCAGGCCCTCAGTGCTCTCATGAAGCTGACATTTTATTTAAGGAGACAGAGGTTAAGACAACTAATTATAGAAAGGTTAGAAAAGAGCATGTCTCAGGGGATTCCTACGACCATGCCAATCATGACGAAACATGCTAAACAAGCTGGGGGATGCTCCCAAGAGTGTCCTTGATTCTTGTTTAAGGTCCAAGGCCCACTTCTCTCCTCCTTCCTCTCCCAACACACCACACCCTGAGTTAGTTAGAACTGCTGTCTTCTCATCTACAGGAAATCACAACTCAGTGGTTTCTCTAGAAGCTGCCCACTGTCCTTAGAACTTGCCTGGTGCCACCCCAAAGCACCTGCTGGTGTTAGGCCTCCTCAGCTAACTTGACATTCCATGCTTCAGACCCAGCATATCTTCTTTAGAAGCACCAAGTTCAACGAGTGGGTCCTTCAGGCTGTCTTCTCCTGGCAGTGCTGATCCAAGCACCTGCTGGGCGAGTTTGGTTCCTTTTGCCTGACTATTCTCACGCCCAGAGCCAGGCAGCCTGGGGACAGAGGAAGAGCAGAAGAGGATGTCACACCCAGGCACACCAGGAGGCCAAACCTGTTTGGCAGCTCAAGCCTCTGACCACAAGCTGGCACTCGCTTTCGGAAGTGCTAACCACAGGCAGGACTGCTAGTGAGCAGAGCACCAAGGGTTTTCCTGCTGGGAAGAAATGCAAGGCTGGCCTTCATGCCTGTCCCCCTGCCCCCGCCCCGTGACAATCCCCCCCCAGCTCTGGACCCGCCCATCTCTTCCCACTCCATATCCAGCTGGAAGTGCTGGTCCAGGCCCCAGTAGAAGACACAGCTACCAACAGAAGGTACGGCCACCAGGAGCCAGGCCAGCCACCGGCCACCTCCCTCCATTCTTGCAGAAATGCTTCCGCTCTCATCTTCCTCAAAAGTTGGGAGGATTTGAGAGCAGCCAGAGTGTTAGCTGTGGAGGATGGGGGGCCACTGCCTTTCCTCCTGGTTCCTCTGCTGAGTCTCCCACAAATGGTTCCACGAGACCAGGACGGACTCAATCCTAAGAGTACGAGTAGAAGGTCTGTTCTCAAAAGCACAGTGAAGGGAGGCCAAGGCGGGTGGATCACCTGAGGTCAGGAGTTCGAGACCAGCCTGGCCAACATGGCGAAAACCCCGTCTCTACTAAAAATACCAAAACTAGCTGGGTGTGGTGGCAGGTGCCTGTAATCCCAGCTACTCGGGGTGCTGAGGCAGTAGAATCGCTTGAACCTGGGAGGCGGAGGTTGCAGTGAGCCAAGATCGCGTCATTGCACTCCAGCCTGGGGGACAAGAGTGAGACTTTGTCTCAAAAACAAAACAACAACAACAACAAAAAAGCACAGCGAAGATTCTCAGGAGGGCTGCTCAGGAGCCTGCACCCTCCAACAGCTTCCCACGTGGGCAGCCGGGGGAGAGGAAAGGGCAGGCTGCTAGGGGGAGGGAGGGTGGAGAACGGCAGCTACGGCAGCTGCCCCCACCCCTCCTCTCATCCTTTCTCACCATTTCCTTCCTTCACAACTGCCACATGAAAGCAAAGGCCCACTGGAACCCCAAGGTGGGCACGCAGATGAGTTTCGGATGGCAGGAGTGGCAGAGCTGCAGGAGCTGCAACGGTCCTCCATCTCCTCTCTACGGGCTGGGGTGCAGAAGATTGGAATGTATACAGCCGCCAGTGGTTAAGAGCTTGGGCTCTAGGCCAGGAACTGTGGCTCTCGCCTGTAATCCCAGCACTTTGCGAGGCCGAGGAGGGTGGATCACCTGAGGTCGGGAGTTTGAGACCAGCCTGGCCAACATGGTGAAACCCCGTCTCTACTAAAAATACAAAAATTAGCCGGACGTGGTGGCATGCACCTGTAGTCCCAGCGACTTGGGAGGCTGAGGCAGGAGAATCGCTTGAACCCGGGAGGCAGAGATTGCAGTGAGCCAAGACTGGGCCACTGCACTCCAGCCTGGGCAACAGAGCAAGACTCTGCCTCAAAAAACAAATAAAAAATTTAAAAATTTAAAAAAAGAACTTGGGCTCTGGAGAGAGATGGCCTGGTTCTGCTACTCACTGGCTGGGTGATGCTGGGGAAATTATTAAACTGCTCTGTGCCTCAGTTTCCCCATGTGTCAAACAGGCATAAGAATACTACTTACAGGTCTATTGTGAGGATTAAATGAGTGAATGAAGGTCCAGTGCTTAGGCCAGTGTCTGGAAAATCATATTATGTAAATGCTGTCTATTATTATTAAATGCTCCTGAATCGACAGATCTGTTTTTAAAAATTCTCTCCACCCACGAAACGATTTGTTCACCTGTGGGTTGAGGAGATAAGTAAAAGCATGGGGTATTGAAGATGCAACCTCAGACCACCAAGCATGCTTCCCTGTACCCCGTCAACCTCTCCCTTGGGCTTCCCCAGCCCCAAGCCTCCCAAAAAAGTCTCACAAGCTCAGAAGATGCCTGGGTGCCACCAGTACCCCAGCATGGAATGCACCCCCTCCCACAGTCATCTCAGAAACCACTGAGACCAGTTCTCATGGGGGACTTTGGAAGGTAGTGGGCCCAGGCTACCTGGAACCTCCAAAAACACGTGCCTCGCCTCCAACAAAGGCACTGAGGCACAATCCGAAGGCCAGCCATACAACTTCCACACTCAAACGGCACACACCAAGGCCCAAAATAGCATCAGCACCATCATCAACGAGATGTAAACAGAGGGAGGACACGACTCACTCCTCCTCGTACAGTGTGACCTGCATCTCCCGGGAGCACACTTTTATCTGTGCACACCGGTGGTACCCACCCAGGAGATGATGCTTCTGAAACTCCTAAGGCCCCAAAACCAGCCAGCCCCTGTGTTTTCATTCATCCTTCCCTCCCACTGAGGGGTTGCAAACAGAGCTCTGTCTTTAGCCAGCATCTTCTAGAAACCCTCATCCTTCCTCTCCCTCCCAGACACGTGCACACTGAGATCGAGACCCAGACAGCCTCCGTTCTAGGCACTTTCCCAGTCAGTTTATGTGATGGCCCTATTCAAATACTCAAAAACACACCCATTTTCTCAGAACAAAGCGAGAAAGGCCCCCTGGGACCCGACTCAACAACAACTCCCTAGCAGAAGGAGCCTCGCCCTCCCTGGCGCCCTCCCTCACCCTCCCTGGCTGACTGCTGGTTTGATTAACAGCCATGAAGAGGGGGGTTGAAAGCCTACCCCCACTTGTGGTGAAAAGCCCCAGCTTTCAATCACAACTCCTCCATATGGCAAGTTATTTACCTCCACGGAGCCTTGGTTTTTTACCCATAAACCCAAAACACTACCTCAGACAGTTGTACAATTAACTGAAATATCTAGAACAGTGCAAGCTGAAGATCTTTTTTTTAAGGCTGGCTGGGAGACCCCATGTTTAAACATAAAATAAATAAAATGAAGTTTTTATATATTTTTATTTATTGATTTTGAGACAGAGTCTCACTTTGTCACCCAGGTTGGAGTGCAGTGGCGTGATCATGGCTCATTGTAGCCTCAACCTCCTGGGCTCTGAGCAATCCTCCCACCTCAGCCTCCTAAGTAGCTGGGACTACAGGTGCACACCACCACGCCTGGCTGATTTTTTTAGATTTTGAGGTGACGGGGTCTCACCATGTTGCTCAGGCTGGTCTCAAACTCCTGGGCTCAAGCAATCGGCCTGCCTTGGCCTACCCAAAGTGCTGGGATTCCAGGCATGAGCCACTGCATCCGGCCTTCAGGTGGGGCATGTGCTCTCCAGGTTGTGGTGGGCCTCAAGACTCACTGGAGTCACCTGTCAGACTCTGGAAAGCATTGTTTGTCATCCTACTTAGAGCTGTGGTCCAGAGCATGTTAAAACACAGACAGCTGGGCTCCACTGCCGGGTTCTGAGCCAGCAGGTCTGGGGCAGGACCTGGGAATATGCAGCTCCATCCAACAAGTTCCCAAGAGATGCTGGTTCTGTTGCTGCTGGTCCAGGGACCACACTTTAAGAAGCCCTACCCTAGAATCTGAAGGCTGGAAAGTACATTAAAGGTCACCCAGAATGGTTCCAAGAGGAGCCAGAATGTACCCATGCCTCTTGCCTGGTCCAGTCCTGCTGTTGATCTGACTCTCAGCTCTTCCATCTTGAGCCTCAGACACAGGCAGGGCTAAGGGTGAAAGCCCCAAAACTCTGATCATCACTCAAACAATCTGTGGCCCCTACTGGTCCTGTTTATCATCTCTCAGCACTTTTGGGGTCCCCAGGCTGTTGCCTCCAACCTCCAGCCACCAGCCCTCACCTAGAGCTTGCTCCCCCAACAAACGTGGGCTCCATTCTGCCCGTCCAGGAATAGACACCAGTGGCTGGAGGAATCAAGGCAGGGAGGTTGGAGTCCAAGGCCCACAGGTAAGAGGAGGGGCGCAGCAGAGCCCTGGAACAGCTGATTTGAGACAAGCCCCTCCATCTTGAGCAGAGCCTGGAGACAGTGGTTTTCCTGGAGGGGGGCCCCGGACAGACACACACTGTACCCAGTGTCCGGGCCACACAATGCACAAGAGGCCAGTGGGGCAGGCAGCCAGGGCCCACTCATGCCAGTACCATCTGGGAGCCCTTGCCAGGCCTCGCAGGGCTGGCTGAAGAAGCTGGACTCTGTCCTGGGGCACAGTCGTGCTCTATTCTTATCTCAAGGGGGAATGTGTGACTCTCCTTCCCGTGAATGGGGGCCCCTGAGGAGGCGGAGTGGGAAACAGAGCCGCCACTGTGCCTGGGCGGGCTCCCCGCGCGGCTCCCAGCTCCAACCAGCCCCTCGTGGCGGGGCCTTGCACTCAACAAGAAAAGGCCAAGCTGAAGGTGGACATGGAAATGACAGTCCAGAGCCCAGTGCAAACTGCCCCTCCCTCACTCTGCAAGACTTGAGCCCGTGAGGCCTGACCAGAAACACACACTCACTCCCTGGAGAGACCCAATGGGACGGGCTCCTAAAGGAAAGCGCAGCCTCCACACAACACAGTTCCTTACTAAATCTCGAAGGAAGGAACCCAGACATCCTAGGCACCCCACACATGCGCACAAATCCCCACTGGCAGATCGGGGCTCTGGCCTGCCTAGCTCCCACAGCACACCATTTGCAGGTGGCTACAGATCTCATGATTTGCTGGCTCTCTTTCGGCCTGCAAATGCCAGGCTTAGCCAGCGAATGGGGCACTGGATATTCTCAAGGACTTGGTACAACCTTTCTAAAGAGCAGTGTGGGGCCGGGCACAGTGGCTCACGCCTGTAATCCCAGCAGTTTGGGGGGGAGCTGAGGCATGTGGATCACCTAAGGTCGGAGTTGGAGACCAGCCTGGCCAACATGGTGAAACCCTGTCTCTACTAAAAATACAAAAATTAGCTGAGCATGGTGGTGCGCACCTGTAATCCCAGCTACTCAGGAGGCTGAGGCAAGAGAATCGCTTGAACCCGGGAGGTGGAGGTTGCAGTGAGCCGAGTTCGCGCTACTGCACTTCAGCCTGGGTGACAGAGTGAGAATCCTCAAAAAAATTCAATAAATAAATAAAAATAAAGAGCAGTATGACACCATGGGTCAAAATGTGCACTTGAGTGGTCCACATTTCCTGGAAATTACTCTCCGTGCAAAAAGATATCATCACAAGGAATGGTTATCTTCAGTAATTTTTAATAGCAGTAAAAAAAAAAAAAGGGGGGGTGTGGAAGAACCTCAGTGTCCATCATAAGGGGATTGCAAATTAATAGTTTATCCAAATTGTGACTAACAAACACTAAAACAAACCTGTAAATATATTTAATGATAGAAATATATTCTGAGAATATTAAATTTAAAAAAAATAGGTCAAGGCTGGGCGCAGTGGCTCATGCCTATGATCCCAGCACTTTGGGAGGCCAAGGCAGATGGCTTACTGGAGGTCAGGAGTTCAAGATCAGCCTGGCCAACATGGTGAAACCCCATCTCTACTAAAAACACAAAATTAGCTGGGTGTGATGGTGTGCACCTGTAATCCCAGCTACTCGGGAGGCTGAGGCAGGAGAATCGCTTGAACATGGGAGGCAGATGTTGCTGTGAGCCAAGATGGTGCCATTGCACTCTTGCACTCCAGCCTGGGTGACAAGAGCGAAACTCCATCTTAAAAAAAAAAAGAAAAAAAAAAAAGGTCAAACAACTGTGTGTATAATATGATCATAAAAGGATAAAATGGGGATTGTTCTTTCTTTCCCAGTTGGATGAAAGAGGGGAGTAAAGGGTGATGGGGAGATGAGGAGGGAGGAGGGCAGGGTGGTGTAGAGAATGAGGCCCGGGTGTGAGGGGGTCAGCTGTGGGTGGGAGCCACTGGCCACTGGGGGAATTAGACTAAGTCTTGTTTAGCCTTCCTCTGGAAGGGCCTTAAAGGATGATGAAAACATCCGGAAAATATTTAGCTAGTAAATCTTTCAGAAGCCCCTCCACCCTGTGTTATTTATATAAACACTTCCCTTCCACTCCTCTCTACCCTCACATACACCCGCCCCGATTCCTATCACAGACTTGGAATCAGCAGAGCCAGAGAGAGCTGGACAAGGCTGGCTCCATGTGCGTTCTGACCACCACGGGTGCAACCCATCTGTGCAGTATGAAGCCTGCGCTGATGTGTTCCCTGGCCCCCATCGCAGAGCAGCCCTCTGACCTGCCAGGGACCCACAGCAGGGGTCGGGGGTGGTGGCCACACTATTTGGGTTCCCTGGCCACCAAATCTCCAGCAGTGATTGTCCCAGGGACTCAAGGAAGGGGAAGGGTTAAATGGGGGAGTCGCTTCTCAGACAGGAGAAAGTATTTGCTCTAATCCTGTCCGTTCTCCTGGAACTTCCTGGAGTTCTCAGGGAAGAAACCCTTAATGAATGGTGTGAGGGAAAGAGAAATCACATGCACATGAATGTGTGCATGCCACACACACACGCTCACACACACACTCATACACTCACACACACTCTTGCACACACACCCACACACTCACGCACATGCACACACAAACGTGCAAACACGCACACACAAACACGCAGATGCACACACGCGCGCGCGCACACGCACTCATGCACACACGCACACTCACACCCACTCACATACACACAAACACGTATCACACACGCACACACAAGCACACACACAAAGAGCGCACACACGCAGACATGCACACACTCTCGAAAACACACACATTCACACACACACGCTCACACACATGCAGACACACTCACACACTCGCGCACACACATATTCTCTCTCTCAAGATCTTCCTCCTGCTCCTGAGAAGTGCCCAGAATTCGGGGAAGCCACTCACTTGTTAAACAACAGCCTTCTTTTGAGGGTTAGGAGCCAGTCCCAGCGTGGGGCACGGGGAAGAGACTATGCTCCGGAACCAAGCCGGCTCTGACTCTAGTCCCAGTGAGAGCACAGCAGACAGTGAACCAGTTCTGGCTTCAAACCCCAGCTCTGCCGCTTAAGCTGTGTGACCTTTTTTAACCTCTTTGGGTCTCTGTTTCTTCCCCTAGAGAGTCCTGGTATCCTTGAAGGGAGATTGCATCAGAGGCTGGGAGTCTAGAAACCTGGGTGTGAGTGCAGGCTGTTTACTGGCCTGAAGGTTGGAGCCAGCCTGCTGGTAGGTGCTGGCCAGCACCTTACATTGTTTGTTGTTGTTGTTAGTTTAAATCAATTGGCAACATTACACAATTGGGAGAGTGTGGATTTCCAGCTGGCCATGTGTTCCCAATGACTGGCTGATGCTCCCTGCATTTTGAACCCTAAATCAAGTTAGTTTAACCTTCCACGGCTCTGGACAGTGAGTTAACAGGAAGCCCTGGGAAGAAGAAAGCAGTGCTTCCACGAGCCCCTCCTCAGATGCAGCCTCAGCTTGCGTCAGGGGAACGCCTGGTTTCCAGGGGCCCCATGTTGCCCTCTCACTTTTGCACAGCCTGCTGTGTAAAGATGAACCAAACATGGCCCAGGAAGTGAGTGTGCCAGCTGGGGATGAGCAGGTCAGGAGGCGGGGAGTATTGCACACCGAGTCCACGGCCTGGAGGAGACCTGGGCTCAAGTTCCTGTGGGGAACGCTCCATTTTTCTTTGCCCCAGCACCTCATCAAACAGTCCCACCCAGCAGCCCTGAAAGTATTTTAGCTGTGCACTCACAGAGGGACAGACTCAGGGCCGCAGGACACAATCCTCATTCAAGAATTTTAATTTTAAAGATACTAATCTGAACCAGGAAAACACCAGATCTTGCGCAGAAAATCCCCCGATTCCAGGGCTCTGATGGAAAGCAGGGGCAGAAGGCCCCCTCCAAGGTGTGAACCGACCCCAGTCTCTGTCCCCCTAAACCCCCAAGACTGGGCAAGCTCCAACCAGGCGAAGTGGACTAGGAGAGGAATCTCTGAGTAAATCGAGTAAATCCTGGAATCCCAAGCATCTCCTTGGAAATGCTGATTAAACACCAGAACCCACGCAAAGATCTGAGCAAATTCCAGGACCACCACTCGGGCCACATAAGCTCTCAACGGAGCACACACACACACTGAGTCAGACCCCTAAACATCTGGGGCTTAGCTAATCCTCTGCTCTCAGGCGTTCAGCTTGGATGGACTCCGAGGGGAGGCAGCACCGGCGAGGGATTCAGTCCAGTTTCCAGGGAGCCCAGCCAGGCCTGGGAGCCAGGGCTCGGCCCTACCCCGGCTGGGGCCCCCGAGTCACACACGGAGGCCATGCGTACATCCTCCCCAGCCCTCACCAGCAGTTCCGGGGCGGCTCCAGTGCCCAACCCACACATGGGAGGTGGAGGCCACAGTGCTCCAGGATTCCACTCTGCGGTGCAGACTTCGAGAGGAAACAATTTCCTAATCCCCTTCCTAAATCAAGGCCAAGAAACAACTTGTGGAGAGTCCACAGACGACTGTTCCCTCTGCCTGGTTGTCCCTGTGCTGACCTCTGGCTGCTCCCAGGAGCCATTAGAGGGAGTGGACGGGAGGGGTGGATGGGAGACCCACAAACCCACAGCCCGGGATTCCATACTTGATACAATCAGTTCTGAGTATCAATCCACAGATCATTGAATTCCAAAGCTAGCTGAGGCCAAATGCCTCCCCCTCTCACCCCCTTAACTAGGCCAGAACATAAAACCCAGCATTTCATTACTTACATTTATGCAACAACATCCCTTGCCTGTTTTCATTTTCAGTGAAATAAGTGATCGTTTTGCTTTTTCTTTTCTCTTTTTTTTTTTTTTTTGAGATAGAGTCACCCACGCTGGAGTGCAGCGGCGTGATCTCGGCTCACTGCAAGCTCCGCCTCCCGGGTTCACACCATTCTCCTGCCTCAGCCTCCCGAGTAGCTGGGATTACAGGCGCCCACCACCGCGCCCAGCTAATTTTTTGTATTTGTAGTAGACATGGGTTTTCACCGTGTTAGCCAGGATGGTCTCGATCTCCTGACCTCCCTCGTGATCTGCCCACCTCGGCCTCCCAAAGTGCTGGGATTACAGGCGTGAGTCACTGCACCCGGCCTGCTTTTTCTTTTTTCAAATTCCAAACCAAATGATCTTTTAACCTAAATAATCCTGATTGATTTGGTATCTCCCTGTGGGTCAGCAGACATATATGAGAAGACATTTTTTCACCCTTTGACTTAAATAAATAACATAGGTAAGAGGAGCCTTGATAGCAAAAACGCCAAGACCACTCAATGGGGGAAAGGGCCATCTTTTCAACAAACTGCTGCGATGAGAGATACAAACATACAAAAGAATGAAGCTGGACTCCTTGCTCACACGGCATACAATTAACTCAAAATGGATCAAAAGACTAAATGTAAGAGCTAAAACTAGAACACTCTTGGCCAGGCACCATGGCTTATGCCTGTAATCCCAGCAACGATGGGAGGCTGAGGTAGGTGCATCACTTGAGCTCAGGAGTTTGAGACCAGCCTGGGCAACGCAGGAAGACACTATCTCTATGAAAGGTTTAAAAATTAGCTGGGCAGGGTGGCACATGCCTGTAGTCCCAGCTACTTGGGAGGCTGAGGTGGGAGGATTGTTTGAGACCGGAAGGTCAAGGCTGCAGTGAGCTATGATCACACCACTGCATTACAGCCTGAGTGACAGTGAGACCCCATCTCAAAAACAAAACAAAAAAACTCTTCAAAAAAATAGGTGTAAATCTTCATGACCTTCTTAGACTAGGTGATGCCTTCATAGATATGACACCAAAAGCACAAGGAATCAAAGGAAAAAATCGGTAAACTGGTCTTTATTGAAATTACTAACTTTTGTGTTCCAAAGGACATCATTAAGAAAGTGAAAAGACAAACCACAGAATGGGAGAAAAATTTTGCAAACCACGTATCTGATAAGGGACTTTTATCTAGAATATATAAAGAACACTTACAGCCCAATAATTAAAAGACATTGATAATGTAACTCAATTACAAAATGGGCAAAAGCTCTAAATAGACCTTTCTCCAAAGAAGATACATGAGGCAGGGCATGGTGGCTCACGCCTGTAATCCCAGCACTTTGGGAGGCCAAGGCAGGTGGATCGCGAGGTCAGGAGTTCAAGACCAGCCTGGCCAATATGGTGAAACCACGTCTCTACTAAAAATACAATTAGCCAGGTGTGGTGGCGCGCGCCTGTAATCCCAGCTACTTGGGAGGCTGAGGCAGGAGAATCTCTTGGACCCGGGAGGTGGAGGTTGCAGTGAGCCAAGATCGTGCTGCTGCACTCCAGCCTGGATGACAGAGCAAGACTCAGCCTCAAAAAAAAAAACAAAAAAAAACAAAAAACAACAACAAAAAAACATGAATGGTCAATAAGGCACAAGAAAAGATGGCCAGCCAACACCAGTAGTCTTCAGGGAAATGCAAATTAAAACCACAGTGAGATACCACTTCACACCCACTAGAACAGCTATGATTTAAAAAAAAAAAAAAAAAAACGTAGATAATTACCAATGTTGGCAAGGATATGGAGGCATTGGAACCCTCATACGATCCTGGTGGTACAGCAGCCTTGGAAAACAGCCTGGCCATTCCTCAAAAGGTTAAACATACTTACCACGTGACCCAGCAATTCCACCCCTGGATATACATCCAAGAAAATTAAAAACACATGTCCACCCAAAAACATGTACACAAACGTTCATACCAGGATTCCTCCTAAAGAGCCAAAAAGTAGAAACCAACCAAATGATGCCCACCAACTGATGAGCAAATAAACAAAACGTGATCTATCCAAACCAATGAACCATTATTCAGAAATAAAAAGAAATGAAGTCCTAATACATGCTACAAGGAGAAAGAGCCTCAAAAACATTCTGCTAAGTGAAACAAGCCAGACACAAAAGGCTGCATATTATATTGTTCTATTTATAAGCAATCCCCAGAATAGGCAAATCTATACAGATGGAAATAGATAAGTGGCCGCCTAAGGAAGGCGTGGTTGGGGGGAACGGGAAGTGACTGCTAATGGGAATGGCATTGCTTTTTGAGGTGCTGGAAATGTTCTAAAATTGATGATGGTAATGATTGCACAACTCCATGAATGTACTAAAAACCGATTTATACACTTTACAGGGGTGAATTGAATGGTATGCAAATTATATCTCCATAAAGCCGTTATCAAAACATAAAAGGTATCTTGCTGAGTTTGCTATTACTTCCACACCCAAGCCAAGGCCACGACTACTTTCTGAAACTCCTCCCTGACCCCTCCAGGTTACCCAGAACTTTTCTTCCTCCCCAGCGTGCCTCTTGCCACAGCTATATCTAGACCTCGAAGAGCAGCGCTTACTTGGTCTCTGTTTACCTATGATTACTGAGTTTTACTTTCCCACCTAAACTTTAAGTTTCTGAACACAGCGGGGCCTGATAATTACAGCCAACATTGCTTGGGTTAGCAATCAGAACTTCAAAGTCTCATGTATTCCTGGGCAGGGTGTGGTGGCTCACGCCTGTAATCCCAGCACTTTGGGAGGCCAAGGCAGGCAGATCACTTAAAGTCAGGAGTTTGAGACCAGCCTGGCCAACATGGCAAAACCCTGTCTCTACCAAAAATACAAAAATTAGCCAGGCGTGTGGCACATGCCTGTAATCCCAGCTACTTGGGAGGCTGAGGCACAAGAATCGCTTGAACCCGGGAGGCGGAGGTTGCAGTGAGCCAAGATCACACCACTGCACTCCAGCCTGGACAACAGAGCGAGACTCTGTCTCAAAAGAACAAAAGAAAACAAAACAAAGTCTCATGTATTCCTGTATTCCTGCATGTATGAATACATGTACTCATGAACATATAACATGTACTCAGTGAATACATGTACTCATGAATGTATGAATACATGTGCTCATGAATGTATATACTCATGAATGTATGAAAACATGTACTCATGAATACATAAATAGACGGGCTCGAGAATGAATACATGTGCTCATGAGTGTATTAAAACATGACATGAATGTATAAAAATGTGCTCATGAATGCATGAAAACATGTAGTCATAAATGTATAAAAATGTACTGACTGCATGAAAAGGTACTCATGAATGAATACATGTGCTCATGAGTGTATTAAAACATGAACGTATAAAAACATGTTAATGCATGAAAACGTACTCATGAACATATGAATACATGTACTGACAAATGTATAAAAACATGTACTCAATACATGTACTCGTGAAGGTATGAAAATGTACTCAATGATTGCATGAGTACTGCATGAAAATGTACGCATGAATGTATGAATACATGTACTCGTGAACGTATGGATACGTGCTCACGTACTCACAATTCTTTCACTTACCCCTTTTGTTTCCTAAACATCTGGTGCCCATAACTAAATACTTCTTATTCAGATTTACCTGATCTTTGCTCAGGTGATGATAGCTGGCACCTTCTCCCCTGAAGAATGCCTCTTCCTTTTAAACCTGGTCTAACTTGCTGATCTTCAACCTCACCCCACCACCCTACGTGCACACCCATCATCTCAGTCTTTGTCTACTCGGGCCTGACTCCGTCTCCATGTGGTATCACATTTAAAGAAACATCACTCAAGCATCATTCAAAAATTATTTTTGGCCAGGCACGGTGGCTCATGCCCATAATCCCAGCACTTTGGGAGGCCGAGGTGGGTGGATCACTTGAGGCCAGGAGTTTGAGACTGGCCTGGCCAACAGGGCGAAACCCCGTCTCTACTAAAAATACAAAAAAATTATCCGGGTATGGTGGTGCGCGCCTGTAGTCCTAGCTGCTTGGGAGGCTGAGGCACGAGAGTCGCTTGAACCCAGGAGGCGGAGGGTGCAGTGAGCCAAGATTGTACCAGTCTGGGCGACAGAGTAAGACCCTGTCTCAACTAAAAAAAAAAATCATTTTTAAAGCAATTTAATCTTTAAAGTCTCTTTTAAAAAGGCTGGGGGAGGGGCTTCATTCATAACATGTAGCAACATTTAAAATTTCATCCCCTTCTTTCAAACTGACTCACAGGCTTAGCAGCTGCACCTCCGACCTCCACCCCAACATCCCTTTCCTTCTTTTCACCGAAAGACTTTAAATTCCTCCCAAGCCCCTCTGACTTGGTCTTTCTCCCCTGCAGGCATCCTTCTCTGAAAGACACACAGACCAACAGACAGACCAACTCTCTCACATATACCCCTCCCTTCAAAATCAGTCCTGTCTACTTTTTTCAAATTTTATAATTAGATTATATATTTTTATATTTTTTTTTTTTCTTTTTTGAGATGGAGTCTCGCTCTGTCGCCCAGGTTGAGATCGTGCAGTGGCACTCAGCTCACTGCAACCTCCACCTCCTGGGTTCAAGTGATTCTCCTATCTCAGTCTCCCAAGTAGCCAGGATTATAGGCAGGTGCCACTACACCCAGCTAAACTTTGTATTTTTGGTAGAGACAGGGTTTCACCATGTTGGCCAGGCTGGTCTTGAACTCCTGGCCTCAAGTGATCTGCCTGCCTCGGCCTCCCAAAGTGCTGGGATTACAGGTGTGAGCCACTGCGCCTCGCCAGATTTTATTTTAATTAACAAATTAAAATTGTATATATTTATGGTGTACAACATATATTTATGGTGTACATACACTGTGGAGTGGCTCAACTGAGCTCATTAATCTACGCATTACTCCACATACTTATTTGTGGTGAGAACAATTAAAATCCACTCTTTTAGCAATTTTTAAAATATAATACGCTATTATTAACTATAGTCACCATTTCCTGAACTTAATCCTCCTAACTAAATTTTGTGTTCTTTGACCAGCATATTCCCCACCCGCAACCCATAGCCCCACCCCACCCAGCCCCTGGTGATCACCATTCTACTCTTTGCTTCTATGAGTTCAACTTTTTTAGAGTCCACATATAAATGAGATCACATGGTATTTATCTTTCTGTGGCCTGGCTTATTTCACTTTGCATAATGTCCTCTGGGTTGATCCATGTTGTCACAAATGATAGGATTTTCTCTTTTTTTAAGGTGGAATAGTTTGCCATTGTGTATATATACAGGTTGGGCATTCCATACCCAAAAATCCAAAACCAAAATGCTCCAATGACCATTTTCTTTGAGCATCATGACAGCACTGATTTGGGATGCCTGACCTGTACCACATTTTCTTTTTTCTTTTTTTTTTGAGATGGGAGTCTCGCTCTATCGCCCAGGCTGGAGTCCAGTGGCGCGATCTCCGCTCACTGCAAGCTCTGCCTCCCGGGTTCATGCCATTCTCCTGCTTCAGCCTCCCGAGTAGCTGGGACTACAGGCACCATCCACCACGCCTAGCTATTTTTCTTGTATTTTTAGTAGAGACGGGGTTTCACCATGTTGGCCAGGATGGTCTCGATCTCCTGACCTCATGATCCGCCCGCCTCGGCCTCCCAAAGTGCTGGGATTACAGGTGTGAGCCACATTTTCTTTATCCACTCATTCATTGGTGGATTCCCTCTCTGGGCTATTGTGAACAGGACTCAATGAACACAGGAGGGCAGACGCCTCTTCCATATAGATTTTATTTCCTTCGGATATATACCCAGTAGTGGGATCCCTGGATAGTATGGTAATTCTATTTTTAATTTTTTGTGGAACCTCCATCCTGTTTTCCGTAATAGCTGAACTGATTTATATTCCCCACCAACACTGTGCAAAGATCCCTTTTGCTCTACAAGGACTGGCCCTTTCTCTTATCCTGAAATTGATCTAGGACAGGTGAGCCCCAAAGTGGGGCCTACCCCATAAGGGTTCTTGGCTTCCCCCAGGAAAGAATTCAAGGGCAATCCATGTGGTAGGATGGAAGAAAACAACTCTATTGAAGCCACAGGGTTATAGCCCTGTGACTATAGCCCTGTGACCGCCGCTGCAGAGCAGGGCTACCCCCTGGGCAGACAGTAGAAGCTCGGGGCAGTTCTGCACTCATATTTACATCCACTTTTTTTTTTTTTTTAAGACAGTCTCTCGCCCTATCGCCAGGCTGGAGTGCAGTGGTACAATCTCGGCTCACTGTCACCTCCGGCTCCCAAGTTCAAGTGATTCTCCTGCCTCAGCCTCCCAAGTAGCTGGGACTACAGGTGCGTGCCACCACGCCCGGGTAATTCTTGTATTTTTAGTAGAGACGGGGTTTCACCATGTTGGCCAGGATGGTCTTGATGTCTTGACTTTGTGATCTACCTGCCTCGGCCTCCCAAAGTGCTAGGATTACAGGTGTGAGCCAACGCAGCCCGGCCTACATCCTCTTTTAATTACATGTAGATTAAAGGGCAGTTTACACAGAAATTTCTAGGAAAAAGGTGGTAATTCTGGGGTCCTCAGTCAGTGCCATGGAAAGAGGCAGTAATCCCCAGGTGTTGCCATGGCAATGGTAAAATGACCTGGCGCAGTGGTGGGTGTGTGTTTTGGAAAGCTGCTTCCACCCTGCCTCTGTTTTAGCTAGTCTTCAATTTGGCTGGGTGTCCAAGGCCCACCTCCAGAGTCAAGTCCCACCTTCTGCTTCAAAACCAGCTTTTCAGACCTCTGCAATGTTGTCCCTCTGTCCATTGCTCAGACTGGCTCTTCACCAGAAAGTCCAGGGACTGAGCCCGCCCGAGAGATTTCTCTTCGATTAAGGGGGTGAGCAGCTATAAATGCCCCCATCACGCTCTGCTGGTTTATATCTGTTTAAGTTCCTGATCTCGTCTTTTAATGTTGTTTTTAATGTGTGGTTTCCCATCTCCACGTGGTGGGAATAAGCCAGCAGAGAGGGCACAATGCCTTCTTTTTCTTTCCTATCCACCCACAGCTCTGGTACCACCTCTGAGCTCCATGTCCAATAAGCTTATGAGACCCACTGCAGACATCCACAGACCTCCGAACTGGGGGGAGGGGGGTACCCACCAGCAAAGGAGGATGTTTTCAATGCTCAGGCCTGGATGCCTATGCTCTGAGAAGGAAATAAATTGTCAGCAGAAGATCAACAGAGAACTCAACTTAGCAGAAAACAGTAGGGGAAGACTTGAGGCTGTAATATTAGGGAGAGATGAAGACGAGACTTTTTGGAGTTCAGATGTGGGGAGACAGTTTAAAGAACAAGAGCATGACTTAGCGAGTTGGCCCCACTGAGCAGGGGGGTGGTTCAGCTCGGAACAACACCAAGGACCGTCTGAAGGGACCAGACACTCCGAATAAAAACAAATGCCTCCCAAATGTTGTCTCCGTCTTCTATTAATTAATCACAATGTCCCCATGGCGAAGTGTCCTATGACTAATGCAAACTGTAACTGTGTGGCATGAGGCCAACTTGCTCATCTTCCTTTCTGAACAAGCCTCCCCAGATCCACGGGGGAGGCTGGGTGAGTGGGGAGCCACTTCCTCTGGGTATCAGATCAAACCATGAAATCTGTTTCTGGGTTGGGCCTCAGAAAAGAATTTCTCCTGGGGACATCCAAACCCTTTAGTTATTTTTGACACTTAGTCCAGCCAGAGGTTTGGAGAGTTGCTGGGGCTAAGCTCGGGGTTTCTCCCAACTCCGCATCAACGGTGCTGTGGAAAAGGCAAGCCAGATTTTCCAGACTGGGGAAGGCAGCGCGGCTGATGCATTTTCTTCTCACAGGAAAAGCCAACTAGCTGTCCCAAAGATGAGATCTTCAATGCACTGCAAATCCAGACAGCACCTCCTGCAAAAAGGGACTCAAATCCTCCACATGACACCATCTCCACTGTTATCATCCCAGACTGAGTGACCCCTCGCATCTGTCCGTCTGCCTCAATTTAAAACCAGCTTCAACCTATTCTGCATGGGGCAGCCAGCGTGATCCTGCAAGACACGAAGACTGATTGTGTCGCCTACAGCTCACCAGCCTCCAAAGGCTTCCCTTCACGCTTAGAAAAAAACAGTGGGAGGGACACAAATTCCTCCATTATCTGACCCTCTTTGACCTCTTAGACCTCAAATCTGGCCAGGCATCGTGGCTCACGCCTGTAAAAATCCCAGCTCTCTGGGAGGCTGAGGCAGGAGGATCACCTGAGTCTAGAAGTTCAAGACCAGCATGGGAAAGATGGCGAAACCCCGTCTCTACAAAAAATTAGTCAGACATGGTGGCGCACACCTGTAGTCCCAGCTACCCAGGAGGCTGAGGTGGGAGAATCACTTGATTCCAGGAGGCAGAGGTTGCACTGAGCTGAGATCACGCCACTGCACTACAGCCTGGGCAACCGAGCGAGACCCAGCTTAAAAAGAAAAAAAGAGAGAGAGAGAGACCGCAAATACTCTCCCTCTCCTACCTGCTCACCCAACTCGAGCTTCGTGGGCATCACCGCCATTCCTCAGGGTCTTTGCACTTGCTGTTTCCTCTGCCTGGAACCTTCTTCCCCAGATTTCCATATGGCTCATTCCCTCTCCATTAAGTTCTCTGCTCCAATGTCACCTCAGAGAGGTCTTTTCTGACTACCCCATTTAAAGTAAACTTCCCCACAACCTGCCCCCCTCACCCTCACCCCTCTCCCCCACTTTATTTATCTTCATAGTATATATAGCTTAGCTGACATGTATATGAGTGTTTGTTTCTTAGAATGTAAGCTGCACAGTGCAGGGAATTTGCCTACTTTGTAACTGCTGTATTCCCTGTGTCTAGAACAATTCCTAGCACAGTGAAGTTTTCTCTTTTTTTTTTTTTTGAGACAGAGTTTCACTCTTGTTGCCCAAGCTGGAGTACAATGGCAGGATCTTGGCTCACTGCAGCTTCTGCCTCTTGGGTTCAAGCAATTCTCCTGCCTCAGCCTCCTAAGTAGCTGGGATTACAGGTGCATGCCACCACACCAAGCTAATTTTTTGTATTTTTAGTAGAGACGGGGTTTTGCCATGTTGGTCAGGCTGGTCTCGAACTCCTGGCCTCAGGTCATCTGCCCACCCTGGCCTCCCAAAGTGCTGGGATTACAAGCGTGAGCTACCGCGCCAGACCACATTGAAGTTTCTTAATAAATATTTGTTGGAAGAAGGGAGGGAGGGAAAGGAAAGAGTTTTTGGTTGACCAAGGTACAGTAAATAAGATCAGGTCCCTTCATTTTATACTTTTTTCAAGGTTTTTTTTTTCTTTTTTTGAGACGGAGTCTTGCTTCTGTTGCCCAGGCTGGAATGCAGTGGCACAATCTTGGCTCACTGCAAGCTCCATCTCCCGGGTTCATGCCATTCTCCTGCCTCAGCCTCCCGAGTAGCTGGGACTACAGGCGCCCACCACAGCGCCCAGCTAATTTTTTTTTGTATTTTTAGTAGAGACCGGGTTTCACCATGTTAGCCAGGATGGTCTCGATCTCCTAAACTCGTGATCCGCCCGCCTCGGCCTCCCAAAGTGCTGGGATTACAGGCGTGAGCCACCACATCCGGCCAAAGTTCTTTTACAGATGTGAAGGCACTTAAATAAATGTAAAGGAAGGACTTCTTAACTCATGATTATCCTTCCAACTCCCTAGTAAGGAAGGGAGGACATGCATAACTATCGCCATTTTACAGAAAAGGAAATATGAATGTGGGATATTTGTTAAAGGGAATAATAAAACATACTGGCTTGTCCAGGTCAAATTTGAAATTAAAAAACCAAACTAGAGGCTGGACGCAGTGGCTCACGCCTGTATTACCAGCACTTTGGGAAGCCGAGGTGGGCAGATCATGGGGTCAGGAGTTTGAGACCAGCCTGACCAACATGGTGAAACCCCGTCTCTACTAAAAAGTACAAAAAAAATTAGCCAGGCATGGTGGTGCACACCTGTAATCCCAGCTACTCAGGAGGCTGAGGCAGGAGAATCGCTTGAACCCGGGAGGTGGAGGTTGCAGTAAGCCGAGATCGTGCCACTGCACTCCAGCCTGGGCGACACAGAGAGACTCCGTCTCAAAAAAAAACAAAAACAAAACAAAACAAAAAAAACAAACCTAGAACTAGAATCGAGGTTTCCAGGTACTCTGTCCTATGCTCTTTCCATCAAGTCACCTTGGATTTCAATATTCTATCCTGCTAGAAAGTCTATTCATATTGTTAATCATATTAATATTTCAAAAATGAAAAAAATATATGATCATCTTGAGAGATGCTGACAAGACATCATTTGATAAAATCCCACATCTATTTGTGCCTTTAAAAATACCTCTTCTTGGTATTAGCGCCAGCCTAGTTTTATATTCTCCAGGAAGACACTGAAAAACAGACACAAAAAGGACATTAAAATGCTAAATAGAAAATATAAATGCTATCTAAAACCAACAGCCAGTATCGGAGTTATGAGGAAACTCCAGAGGAATTCCCACTAAAGACAGGAACACAGCTATTTATTAGCAACATTCTGGAACCATGTATCATCTATAACCAATTTTAAAACATAACTAAATTTCACTCACAATAACAAGAAGAAATTATCAACATCCTAAGAATAAACCTAACACAAGGAACATACAAGCCCTACGTGAAGAAACCATTTGTCCAGGGGACAGAGTCTAACTTAATTATGTAGAGATATTATGTTCCTGGTTAGTATCAAGAACTGTGAAAGGTCTGAGATTTCTTATCCCAGGTCCAGGAGCAAAGTGAGATACTCAACATTCTTAATTCCATTTAATCTAATTAATAACTCTGCAATTTGTATTATTATTCCCCACTAATGAAGAGGCACAGATCAGATAATTTCACACAGCAAGGAAGTCAGGATTACAATTTAAATAGTTCTGACTCCCAAGCCTACTGTCTTCCTACCAGCTCACTCAATCTTCTAGCAATGTGATGGCTTTCTACTGTGTCAACATGGCTAGGCTGAACTTCAGTTCCCAGAATTCCTTTCCTTATACATTCTGCTTAGCGTAGACCACAGGAAGATTTCTGGGAGATATGGTGCGGGAAAGGGAAGAAGCAGAGATTCTGCAGCTCAAACACATTGTTGCTGATCTGCTGACTTGCCTCACTGGCATAAAGCAGTGGCTAGGCCCACAACTGCTCCACCCTCTCCTGGAGCTTTTGTCAGCTTATCCAACCCCTGAGCCAGGATACATTGGTTAGGTCCATGACACAGGGCCCCAGATTCTGCAGGATACCCACACTATCAAAGTCAAAGACAATTTTATTCCATCCTTGTGGGGTTCCAGCTCATGCCCACAGGTTCTAGCCTGCTCATGATCTTCTCTTCTTAACTTCACCTTTCCCGTAGACTTCAAGCTCCAGCATCAGACATTGAAATGACAGCCCAACAGAGACTACTTAGCCAGCCCCACAATGACATAAGACTAATATTCTGTAAAAACTCTCTTTTAAAATGCAGGGGCTGGACATGGTGGCTCACATCTGCAATCCCAGCACTTTAGGAGGTCAAGGCGGGAGGACTGCGTGTGCCTAGGAGATCAAGAGCAGCTTGTGCAACATATGGAAACCCTATCTCTACAAACAATTTAAAAATTCGCCAGGCATGGTGGGGCATGCCTGTGGTTTCAGCTACCTGGGAGGCTACGGTGGGAACATCATTTGAGTCCGGGGGTTGAGGCTGCAGTGAGCCGTGACTGCCACTGCACTCCAGCCTGGGTGACAGGGCGAGACCCTGTCTCAAAAATAAGTCAATAAATAAAAATGTGTATATCTGCATTTGTGTGTGTGTACCTGTGTGTCTATGTCTATGTGTGTATATACATGTGTGTCTGTGGCTATATGCACGTATGTCTATATAGCTAGTGTATGTGTCTACAACTGCATGTGTGTTTATGTACATGAATATGCCTACATCTACGTTTCTGTCTGTTTCTCCTACTCATTCTGCTTCTCCATGCAAACCCTGACTGACACAGCTAATTGCTCCTCACTGTAAGTCCACAGAATAGGTGGTCATGGAGTGGGAGTGTCCCTAGAGAAGCTGGAGATGGAATGCTGAAGGCTGGGGTAGTGGAAAGCCGTGGAGACTCAGTCTGCTACTCTGCCCCTCTAGGCTAACAGATTAAAACAAAAAGAGTCACTTGTATGTGCACAACACTGCAGATACAAATGCTAAAGATGCAGGGTCCCACACTGGCCACTATGCCTCAATGGCTCCCCCAAGCAGGGAGTGGGACACAGAGGGGTCTCCATCAATACTGCCAGCTTCTGGACTGGCCCCACCCTGGTGTGCACCCAGCTATGCCCCTCTGACAGCCACAGAAAGGCTGCTTCTGGGGACCCAGGGAAGTGGCTCCAGGGCCCTGGCCCTGACTCACTTCTGGAATTTCCTGCCTTGGGAAGCTGCTCACAGGTCACATCAAGGGGATATTAAAGCCACTGCTTAGGGGCCGGGCGCGGTGGCTCACGCCTGTAATCCCAGCACTTTGAGAGGCCGAGGCAGGAGGGTCACGAGGTCAGGAGATTGAGACCATCCTGGCTAACACAGTGAAACCCGTCTCTACTAAAAATACAAAAATTTAGCCTAGCGTGGTGGCGGGAGCCTGTAGTCCCAGCTACTCGGGAGGCTGAGGCAGGAGAATGGTGTGAACCCGGGAGACGGAGCTTGCAGTGAGGCAAGATCGCACCGGTGCACTCCAGCCTGGGCAACAGCAAGACTGTGCCAAAAAAAAAAAGGCCACTGCTTGAATGAGTGCCTGAGCACCCCTGAAGAGACACACCCAGATTCCCAGGGTAGATCCAAGTCCCACTAAGACCTGCAGCTCTCAGTTACTCCCTCCACAGAGCCCGGCTCCAAAGAGGGAGGAGACGCAGTTTCCTAAAATGTGCAGGCCCAACAAGGCAGCATCAAGGCCAAAGCTCTGGAATCACAGACTCCAGGGCACATTCCAGCTCTGCCAGATACTAACATAAATGGCCTTGGGCAAGTTCTGGTACCTCTCTACACCTTGAATTCCCCACCTTTAAAATGTGTATGATAGATACCATACAATGCAACACTGTGGAAAGGGTTAAACTTTTACATTTTCTTTAAAAATAAAGTATAATAAATGTTATTTTTGTTAAGATTAACACTTTTCAGAATAACTCTGTCAAGCTCATGGTGATGAGTCAGTAGGCACTGCCTAAAAAGTTGAGGATGGCATATATTAAAAAGTTACATAGTAGGCCGGGCGCAATGGCTCACGCCTGTAATCCCAGCACTTTGGGGGGCCGAGGTGGGCGGATCACGAGGTCAGGAGATCAAGACCATCCTGGCTAACATGGTGAAACCCCGTCTCTACTAAAAACACAAAAAATTAGCCGGGCGTGGTGGCAGGTGCCTGTAGTCCCAGCTGAGGCAGGAGAATGGCGTGAACCCGGGAGGCGGAGCTTGCAGTGAGCCGAAATAGGGCCACTGCAGTCCGGCCTGGGCGACACAGCGAGACTCTGTCTCAAAAAAAAAAAACAAAAAAAGGTACATAGTAGTTACAAAGATAACTACCAGAACTAAAAGCAGATTGTAAATCTTTCAAATTATTGGAAGAAATGTACACACAAAGTCAATAAAACTGATCATATAGTAAATAACATATTATTAAAGGTTTTGTTTGTTTGTTTGTTTTTTGAGACAGAGTCTCACTCTGTTGACCAGGCTGGAGTGCAGTGGCACGATCTTGGCTCACTGTAACCTCTGCCTCCCAGGTTCAAGTGATTCTCTGGCCTCAGCCTCCCGAGTAGCTGGGACTACAGGAGCGCACCACCACTACCAGCTAATTTTCGTATTTTTAGTAGAGACGGGGTTTCACCATGTTCGCCAGGACCTCAGGTGATCAGCCCGCCTCGGCCTCCCCAAGTCCTGGGATTACAGGCATGAGCCACCGTGCCTGGCCTATTAAAGGTTTAAAAACAGAAAACATAACATAAAATGACAGAACTAAAACCAATCATAACTCTTACAGAAAAAGATTCTGAGGTATCCCCAATATATTTCAAACTTAGATAATTTTTTAATTGGTTGCAACCTTGATCCACCCAAACAGTTCTATATGAGGATGCAGGCTGAACTCACGGGGGTTCAGACATCAGTAACAGGGAGTGTGTCATGAACTTGAACTGTGTCCTCCCAATCCAAAAAACAAAAAATCTAGCCTGTAATCCCCGCACTTTGGGAGGCCAAGGTGGCCGGATCACCTGAGGTCAGGAGTTCGAGACCAGCCTGGCCAACATGGCGAAACCCCATCTCTACTAAAAATACAAAAAAAAAAAAAAAATTAGCCAGGCATAATGGTGGGTGCCTGTAATCCCAGCTACCTGGGAGGCTGAGGCGGGAGAATCGCTTGAACCCGGGACTCGGAGGTTTCAGTGAGCTGAGATTGTGCCGCTACATTCCAGCCTGGGCGACAGAGACAGACTCCGTCTCAGAAAAGACAAAAAAAATCTGTATGTTGAAGTCTTAACCCCTAGTAACTCTAGATGTGACTATAATTGGAGATAGGCGGCCAAGCGTGGTGGTTCACACCTGCAATCCCAGCACTTTGGGAGGCAGAGGTGGGTGGATCACCTGAGGTCAGGAGTTCAAGACCAGCCTGGCCAACATGGTGAAACCCCATCTCTACTAAAAATACAAAAAATTAGCTGGGTATGTTGTGTGTCCCCTATAATCCCAGCTACTCAGAAGGCTGAGGCAGGACAATCAGTTGAACCCAGGAGGCAGAGGTTGCAGTGAGCCGAGATCATGCCATTGCACTACAGCCTGGGCAACGAGAGAAAAATTCCGTCTCAAAAAAAAAAAAAAAAAATTGGACATAAAGGTAATTAGGTTAAAATGGGGTCATGAGAGTGGTCCTAATCCAACATGCCTGGTGTCCTTATAAGAAGAGGAAATTAGGATACAGGATACAGACAGGTACAGAGGGAGGACCACGTGAGGACACATGGAGAAAACAAGCCAAGAAGAGCGACCTCAGAAGAAACTAACCTGTTGACATTTATGGTCTCAGACTTGTAGTCTCTAGAATTGCAAGAAAACAGATTCTGTTGTTTAAGCCCCACAATCCATGGTACTTTGTTAAGGTGGCCCTAGCAAACTCACACGTGTCTGTCAGGTTGCATGGGCAAGGAGGGTGTCACAGTTAGTGCCAAGCATGTGAGTGTGCTGGAAAATGGAAGTGACAAGGAGGGGGCTTAAGGTAGGCCCATCCCCACCCATTCCCCACCTAGCCCAGAGCCTCAAAGCTGTTGGCAGGAAGAGCTAAGAATACTCAGAGCTCTGCCAGGCAGTGGGCTCCATATTCCAGCAGCTTGGAGCAGGGAACGGGGGACTCGGAGCGGCAGAAAAGCAAGGCCTGCTGGCAAGATGTGATTGCAGGAGACTCTAGTAACTCAAGGACTGTGGGGTACAGAGAAGGCTAGTGACTGTTTCCCCTTTGGGGTCCTGTTCAAAGCTGGGGACTTTGCAGCTGTGCCCACCTGCTAGTTTTACTCTCCCTAAAACAGAGCCAGGTATGTGTTCTGACCATGGCTGCCGAAAGACGCCCAGGAGGACAGGTGAGCCTCTGCTTCTCATAGGCAGTGTCGGGCCCGTGATATTATCCCAAAGTGAAGGGGAACAACCATGCTCAGAGCAGGACAGGCCCCAAGAGGCATTTTTGGGGCCCTTAAATTCTATCAAAGTTTTAAGATCAACCCAAAATGAGTGGCCAATCTCGGCAGATCCCCAGTATCAGGTAAGAAAGGATCTGGTAAATTATTACACAAATCCTTTTCTGTGGATGTTAATTTCTTTTTTTTCTTTTTTCTTTTAAGACAGACATGCTCTCTCGTCCAGGCTGGAGTACAGTGGCGCAATCACGGCTCACTGCAGCTTTGACCTCCAGGGCTCAGGCAATCCTCCCACCTCAGCCCCCTAAGTAGTTGGGACCACAGGCATGCACCAGCATGCCCAGATAATTTTGGAAAACATTTTTTCTAGAGATAGGATCTTGCTATGTTGCCCAGGCTGTTCTTGAACTCCTGGGCTCAAGCAATCCTCCCACCTTGACCTCCCAAAGCACTGGGATTACAGGCGTGAGCCACTGCGCCTGGCCAGTTGTTACATTTCTAAAAAAAAAGTCTTTTATGTCTTTGAGCTAGGTAAGAACTGCATGGCAGGTACAACAGGCCAGATCAATAGTTCCTGCCCGTCTCTGATTAGAACCTTCTAGAAACCAAACCATAATCAGAGACAGGCAACTGGATGAGGAAGGACGGAACAATACATGACAGAAGGAGTTAGTAGGTTCCAAACGGTGGCTGGGCCATGGTGCAGGAATGGCTGCTGCCCCCAGGCAGAAAGGAGAAGACCAACAGAAATCCACAGCCCCACACTGGCAGACAGCCTGGCTCAGCTCAGGGCTGCAGACGCCCTGGTGTCTGGGGCTGACAGCCAGCAGCACCGGGGCAGGTACTGCTAAGGAAAAGAACCGCAGAGACGCCTGCATTCAATGCTCAAGTGCACATCAAAAGGAAAGAAAACACTCTCTGTATATCAGAGAAGCACGGGGGAAAGTACACAGGAAGGAAAATGGAACTTCAGGGTTCCTCTGGAGCAAGTCATGCCTGGGTGAATCTAAAGAAAAGGTGACTGGAGGAAGCTCAGGCAGTGTGTAAGACCCGAAGAGCTCTCCAGGCGCTCACTGTCAGAAAAGTTAGCTCTAGGAAGGAGGCAGTAGAGGCTTGGATGAAACCTTACAAGGCCCTAGAACCAGGCCCTGGTGGCCTGTCCTGGGCAACATTGAGGATAAACAGCACTCAGGCCCCCCAGGACCAAGTTCTGAGTTCCTGCAGCAGCAGCAGCCGGATCTGTGCCCCAATCCTGGCATGGGTTCAGGGGGCATTGGCAGTTCCGCTGTTTCTGCCAGGGATACAACCACGCTTGCTGCTGAACGGACAGTATAGCTGGGCCAGGTGGGGGAGGTGGGCTTTAGGGGCCAGGGCAGATGGCCCAGGAGTCAACTGAGGGAAGGGGGAAACAGCAATATATTCTAAGACCCCCCCAGAAATGAGAGACACCTCCCAGCTCTCTAAGGGCAGTAACCCTGGAGTTCAATGAAGTGGAATGGCTCATTATTTTGTTTTTGTGGGAGCAAGAACAACCATCTCAACAATGAGAACTTGCCCCCGTAGTCCCAAAGCCAGGATCTTCGTGGGAGGGTTCCAGAGGGTGAGGCCCAGGCCCTCTGAACCAGCAGACCCTTGTCATGGATCAGGTCCTGCGCTGATGGACCTTGAGAGAATGGTGGCTACAGAGGACAAATCCAGAAAAGGCATCCACACACATGCAAGAAGGCAGAGGAAGCATCTGGTTCTCCCCAAACTCGGGGGTAAAACTGTCCACATCGAGCACCAAGGCACCCTGAACTTCCACAGAACCAAGTTAGATAATCCCAGAACTTTGAGGTATCTGGGCCCAAAACTAGTATTAAATTGAAGGCGCAGATAAGAAATGGAATGTTTTCACTTTTTATAGCCCAGTGTGCCCAACCAGTCCATCAAACCCACCTTCTTCCCGGGGCAACCCTAGAAAAGATGTCTCACTCAAAGACAGCCCTGGAGAGCAAGTCCTGGCCAAGTTTTCCCAATTATGACTGCATTTCACATCTTTCTTTACAAGGCAAAGTCCCCGCAAGAGTCAGGGAGTGAATCCTCCAGAGCCTCGCCACTTAGTGTGGACCACAGACCAGCAGCACCAGAATCACCTGGGAACTTGCCAGAAGTACAGTTGTTCAAGCCCCACTCCAAACCTACTGAACCAGCAGCTCTGGGAGGAGGCCCAGCAATCAGGGTTTAAACACTCCCTCCAGGAGACTGTGATGCTCTCTCAGCTTGGACGCTTTCAAAACTGACCACCTCAGTATGAAACAGGCTAAACCATGCTCAAGGGTTAACAGCGTAAAGATCTCTGGCCGGGCGCGGTGGCTCACACCTGTAATCCCAGCACTTTGGGAGGCCGAGGCGGGCGGATCACGAGGTCAAGAGATCGAGACCATCCTGGCTAACACGGTGAAACCCCATCTCTACTAAAAATACAAAAAATTAGCCGGGCGTGGTGGCGGGTGCCTGTAGTCCCAGCTACTCGGGAGGCTGAGGCAGAATGGCATAAACCCGGGAGGCGGAGTTTGTAGTGAGCTGAGATCGCGCCAGAGCGAGACTCCGTCTCATAAAAAAAACGATCTCTGTCTTCCTGTAGTTAGACAATAAAAATTCCTTCATTTAGGACCTACTGTCTCTGAATCTGTACTCCTGTGGGCATTCGAAATTGAGATTTACCTATTAAGTCAAGAATTACAGTAAGCAAGAAAGAAGCCAAAAGCCCTCTTCAAATGCTTAGTCACATGGTTTGCCATTTTTTTTAATATGTTAATTACAAACTACTGATCCATACCTACTCAATTAGCTTTTAAGCACTGAAAAGTACTTTGTTCAACATACTTGCACATATTCCACTGTGTGCCTGGTTTATGGCTTTTGAATAAACAAATAGGTGTTTTCATACTTCCAGGCAAAGCCAGCAGTGGGGCTTGGGTGGGGGCAGAGGGTGGCGTGTATGTGTCTGCGTGTTTAATCACAGCGAAGTATAATACACAACTGCCTCTCTGAAATTTACAAAAATGCTCAGACAACCTCAATTAAGCTGATTTCTAAAATACGCAGACAAAAGGAAACATCCTCAAAGTTTCTGTAAACGGTTTTTGAGCCCACAGCTGAGCCTCTCCACCAGTCTGGAATTTACTAGCTACTCAAAATAACAGGAACATCCTAATATTGCCTCTTACAGCTCAAAAGTAAGGCTTTTAGATCAGCCAAGGGGGCTAAGAAACCTCACATGCATGAACACAGAAAATACACTTGTAAAAATATACTGGGCAAGTGGGCTTGTACACACGTGTTGGGATCAAGGGTACAACACGGCATTTCTCTCTCATGCCAAAGATCCAAATATGATGTTTATCGAAGCTTCCCAAAGCCAAGCTCAAACTCTATTAATGTGAATCTTGGGGGAAAAAATCAGAGTACCTTTATCTAGATTTTTTAAAACGGTGTGAACACTGCCAAGAGCTCATAATAAAAAGAGTACAGAACTCCAAGTCAAAAGGTCTGAATGCCAAGTCTGTCTTTTACCAACTGCCACTTCCTAACCTGGCCGCAAATCACAAATTCTGAACCTCCCATGTCCCCAGCTGAAAAATCAAGATGATGGAAATAGTAACTGCTTGTTGGAGCTCAAGGAGCTGCTGTGAGAGCCGATCATGTATCTCATGTGAGAGCACCTGAAAAATCATAAAGCACACGTGAACATCAATTATTGGCTAGCACAGGCATTTTTGATTTAGGAGCTTGAGAAAGAGGGAGTCAAAAAAAGAACACAGTTTTTTTGCACTTTTATGTTTCTTGGTTGTGTTCTGGTGTTGGAGGTTATTTTTGTGGGGTGAAAAGCTGCCTCGTTGGTTTCGGTTAACCTAGACCTTTCTTCACCTGCATCCCTTGGATAACTGTTTGCTGCTGGTTAAGAATCCTCTCTCAGTTAAGAGCCAGACGCAGCGGCTCACACCTGCAATCCCAGCACTTTGGGAGGTCATGGTGGGTGGATCACAAGGTCAGGAGATCAAGACCAGCATGGCCAATATGGTGAAACCCCGTCTCTACTAAAATTACAAAAAAAAAAAAAATTAGCCAGGCGTGGTGGTGCATGCCTGTAGTCCCAGCTACTCTGGAGGCTGAGACAGGAGAATTACTCGAACCCGGGAGGCGGAGGTTGCAGTGAGCCAAGATTGCACCACTGCACTCCAGCCTGGGCAACAGAGAAACACTCAAGAAAAAAAAAAAAAAAGGCCAGGCGCGGTGGCTCACGCCTGTAATCCCAGCACTCTGGGAGGCTGAGGTGGGCGGATCACGAGGTCAGGAGATCGAGACCATCCTGGCTAACACGGTGAAACCCCATCTCTACTAAAAATACAAGAATTAGCTGGGCATGGTGGCGGGTGCCTGCAGTCCCAGCTACTCCGGAGGCTGAGGCAGGAGAATGGCATGAACCTGGGAGGCGGAGCTTGCAGTGAGCAGAGATGGTGTCACTGCACTCCAACCTGGGCGACAGAGAAAGACTCCGCCTCAAAAAAAAAAAAAAAAAGAATCCTCTCTTGAACAGAACGGTATCAGGTCAACTGGATGATGAATAAATGATGGAGAACCCTGGCCCATATGATCCAATAAACCATCTTCCTGCTCCAGAAGGTTGCTGCAAGGCATGTCAGCCTAAATAGAAGAGGATCCATTTTTGTTCATTTTTATGTATTTATTTTGTTTTATTTATTCATTTATTTTGAAACAGAGTCTTGCTCTATCACCCAGACTGGAGTGCAGTGGTGCGATCTTGGCTCACTTCAACCTTCATCTCCTGGGTTTAAGCGATTCTGCTGCCTGAGCCTACAGAGTAGCTGGGATTACAGGTGCCCGCCACCATGCCCAACTAATTTTTGTATTTTTAGTAGAGACAGGGTTTTGCCACATTAGCCAGGCTGGTCCCAAACTCCTGACCTCAGTTGATCCACCCGCCTTGGCCTCCCAAAGTGCTGGGATTACAGACGTGAGCCACCGCGCCCGGCCCCATTTTGAAATAACATATCTCACCTTATAGAATTTTAGGATACTGCAGCCGAAGAACACAAAAACCAACTTATATTTTTGTGACTTTCCATCAATTCCATTTGAGGATTAGAGGTGGAAAAGAGGTAGAAACAGTTTGGCAGTTCTTTATTAAGCACAGAGTCCTCATACAATCTAGTAATTCCACTCCTAGCTAGAGACCCAAGAGAACTGAAAACATGTCCCACAAAAAAACTTGTACACCAATGTTTGTCACAGCATTATTCACAATAGCTAGAAAGTATAACCAATTCACATGTCCATCCACTGATGGACAGGTAAAACGTGGCATATCGGGATAATGGAATATTATTCAGCCATGAAAAGGAATGAAGTGCTGATGCATGTTACAATACAGATAAACCTCGAAAACATTACACTAAGTGAAATAAGCCAGACACAAAAGGCCAGATATCATGTAACATTATTCTGTTTCTATGAAATGCCTAGAATAGGCAAATCCACAGAGACAGAAATCGATTAGTAGTTGTTGGTTGTTAGGGGTAAGGAGATGGGGTGAATGGGGAGTGACAGCTAACAGGGAAGGGGTTTCTTTCTGAGGTGATGGAAGTGTTCTGCAGTTAGTGAATATATTAGAATACTACACAGTGAATATACTATAAACCACTGAACTGTATACTGTAGAGAGCTGAGTTTTACGTTATGTGAATAACATCTCAATAAAGAAAAAAATATTAACTATTTTTTAAAGACCTAGAAATAGTGGTTAACCAACTAATCAGGAATTAAAAGGGCAGCATACCAGGTGATGACTCATTCACCAACTCCCAAGAGGAAGTGTGGTTGTGACATTTACGTTGATTTCATCTGACCTCCAACCTCAAACCCCAGGCACTCTCTTGCACACTTCAACTTTCCGTTTTCCTTTCTCCCTTCCGCCCATTCCCCTTTGACTCTTTCCTTTTCTTCCTCTCCTTTTCTTCTCTTTCTTTCTTTCTCTCAACTGGTTAAGTACACACACACACACACACACACACACACACACACACAAAGTGTAAATGGATACAGTGAAGGTAGTGGGCTTTTGAAATGTAACTTTTCTCCTTGCCTATAGAAGTTGTTGAATGAACACCTATGAGAGGCAGCAAATTGGAGTCATCTGGACTCAGTAATGAGGCTGTTACATTTCTTTTTTTTTTTTTTTTAGACAGGGTCTCACTCTCTTGCCCAGACTGGAGTGCAGTGGCACGATCTCGGCTCACTGCAACCTCTGCCTCACAGGCTCAAGCAATTCTCCTGCCTCAGCCTCCCGAGTAGCTGGGATTACAGGCATGCATCACTACCGCCCAGCTAATTTTATATTTTTAATACAGACAGGGTTTCACCATGTTGGCCAGGCTGGTCTCGAACTCCTGACCTAAAATGCTCCACCCACCTCGGCCTCCCAAGCTGCTGGGATTACAGGCGTGAGCCACCGCACCTGGCCAAGGCTGTTAAATTTCATTCAATCCAGGCATCATCATGGTGTGACCATAAGTGAGCAAGTCACTTTACTTCTGTGCCTCAGTTTCCCCACCTGTAAAATGGGGACAATAGTAGAACCTAACGCATGAAGTTGTTGTTAGGATTAAAAAGAATAGAACAAAGCTTGACACCCAGCAAGTGCTCTACAAAAAAGTAGAAGCCTGTGAACTGAGGCTGGTTCTGAGGTTCCCTGGACCTGACTTAAAAGCATATTTCCAGATGTCAGACTTCTTCTTTTTTTAAGTTTGGTTATTTTTTTTTAGAGATGGGGTCTTGCTCTGTTGCCCAAGCTGATTTCAAACTCCTGGGCTCAAGTGGTTCTCCTGCCTCAGCCCTGCTAGTAGCTGGGACTATAGGCACAGGCCAACATACCAAGTTAAAGGGTTTCGTTTGCTTGTTTTTGTTTTTGTTTTTTTTTTAAATACTTGTCACTGATGAAGCTCAGATGAAGCCTCTTTTAAGTATTGTTTTCTAACAATACTGTTTTCTAACAAAACTGTCACATGTTCATTTTTCTTGGTGATATTTTATCTTGTTATTAAATATTATTCTACGTCATTTAATGACAGCATTTAATGTGATTATAAGAGTCTATCATCAATCTACGTACCTACCTACCATCTATCTATTTATTTACAGATAGGGCCTCACTCTGTCATCCAGGCTGGAGTGCAATGGCATGATCATGGCTCACTGCAACCTTGACATCCTTGGCTCAAGTGAGTCTCCCACCTAAGCCTCCTGAATAGCTAGGGCTACAGGTGTACACCACCATGCCCAGCTACTTTTTTTATTTTTTACAGAGAAAGGGTTTCCCTAATGTTGCCCAAGCTAGTCTTGAACTCCTGGCTTCAAGCGCTCCTCCTGCCTCGGCCTCCCAAAGTGCTAGGATTACAAGCACGAGCCACCATAACCCAACCTAAATAAAGTTTTCCAGTTTTGACTTTTACTTCTGACACCCTTTCAGTTTCCCTTTGTTAATGGAAGAAGAGAGAGAATCACTGCTGCATTCCAAAATGGAAGGAAAAGAGAGCCAGGACTTTCAGTTGCCAGTGGCAGAAATCCAATCCACAAGTTTAAGCCAACACAAAGGAGGATTTATCAGCATGCATCACTGGAGTTCAGTGATGCCTGGTTCCAGGGACTCACACAATGTCTACAGGACATCTTCTCTCACCTCTGACTGGCTGTCACGTGTAGGTGGACTCTGCCCCAACTAGAGAGCCACTGGTAACTTCCTCCCAACTTAGCAACGTATCTTGGTTGACAAGCCCCACCAAAGTCACATGGCGGGGTGAGAATAGGGAAGTTCCCCGAAAAGATGGGAGATAGAACATTATGACAGGCAGATCAAAACAGAAGCTGTACCAATCCACTTTAGTCAGCAATCGACTCCCCAAGAGAATCTTATTGAGGAACGATTCTGTGCTCAGCACCGTCTAAGGCATGCAGGCGGAACACAGAAGGATTCATCACAATACCTTGACTTTGTAAAGCATCACTTCCCAGTGAAGAATTGACTGTGCGTGCATTAGCTCTTAACCCTTAGAGTTCCCAGTACTTAGCTTAATTTCACACATGACAAAAGGAGACCCACCTAGACCGAGTGACTCATTCAAGGTCACACAGCCAAGATGTGACTCCAGATAGACATTCCCCCAGTCCAGTGCCTCGTCCACTGCTGCCGTGTGCAAGGGGCCATGTTAAACATGACGGTGGAGAGCAAGATGGCAGAGGAGGAGACGCAGCCTTCAAGGCCTCTCTATATTAACATAAATGCTCCAATCTGTCAATTCAGGGTGGCATGTGCAGGTGCCGCTTAGGTGCCTCCTCCCAAGGAAGACAAGGCCCTGAGAGCTGAAGATGAGCAAGAGTTTCTAGAGGAGGACTTTGCAGGATGCAGGGAGATGGTGAGGAGGGCCAGACAGGCCAAGCAAGGGTAGGTGCGTGGCCATTTCTTACACTTCTTCAGAAATCAATGAGAAACCTGGCTGGGCACAGTGGCTCACACCTGTAATACCCAGCACTTTGGGAGGCGGGTGGATTATCTGAGGTCAGGAATTTGAGACCAGCCTGACCAACATGGTAAAACCCCATCCCCACTAAAAATACAAAAAAAAAAAAAAAAAAAAATTAGCTGGGCATAGTGGCGGGCACCTGTAATCCCAGCTACTCAGGGTAGCTTAGGCAGGAGAATTGCTTGAACCCAGGAGGAGGAGGTTACACTGAGCCAAGATCACGCCATTACACTCCAGCCCAGGTGACACGGCAAGCCTCCGTCTCAAAAAAAAAACACTGGGCGTGGTGGCTCACGCCTGTAATCCCAGCACTTTGGGAGCCCGAGGTAGGCAGATCACGAGGTCAGGAATTCAAGACCAGCCTGGCCAAGAGACCAGCCTGGCCAATATGGTGAAACCCCATCTCTACTAAAAATACAAAAATTAGCCGGGTGTGGTGGCGGGTGCCTGTAACCCAGCTACTTGGGAGGCTGAGGCAGGAGAATTGCTTGTACCCAGGGGGCACAGGTTGCAGTGAGCTGAGATCATGCCACTGCACTCCAGCCTGGGTGACAGAGTGAGACTCTTTGACTCACAAAAAAAAAAAAAAAAAGAAATCAATGAGAAACCTGAAGCCTGACTGGCTGGAACAGAAGGAATCCGTAAGAAATGAGTAGAAGAATAAAATAATAATGTTTTTTAAATTAGTATTGTTCTTTTAAATTATTTACATGTATTAAATCATTCATTTACTTTTCCTATTTTATGAAATAAGTCCCACTATCATGCCCATTTTACAGATGAGGAAATTGATGTACCAAAAGGTTTGAGCAACTTCCTGCAGGTCAGAGTGACCAAGCAGGCCAGGTGAGGTGGCTCATGCCTGTAATCCCAGCATTTTGGGAGGCCAAGATGGGAGGATCACTTGAGGCCTGGAGTTCAAGACCGGCCTGGGCAACATAAAAAGATTCATCTCTATAAAAACAACAAGTTTTAAAATGTAATTTAGCTGGGTGTGGTGGTATGCACCTGTAGTCCCAGCTACTTGGAAGGTTGAGGCAGGAGGACTGCTTGAGCCCAGGAGTTTGAGGTAATAAACACAATAATAATGTAATCTGGATCTATAATTCCAAATAATTTCATCATGGGACATGGTAGAGAAAAGATAGAAAGGAAAGTAAAAATATGCTGAGACTCTTGCCTTTTTGGCAAATAGAATATAAATGCTGGTTAACTGTAGTCTTTGATTAAAATATATATTAAAATATACATATTAAAAATTCACACAGGCCAAACTGGGTCTGATGGCTCATGCCTGTAATCCAGACAGTTTGGGAGGCCGAGGCAGGAGGATCACTTGAGCTCAGGAGTTTAAGACCAGCCTGGGCAACATAGAGAGACCTTGTCTCTACAAGAAATAAAATTAAAAATTTAGCCAGGCATGGTAGCAAACATCTGTGGTCTCAGCTACTCAGGAGGCCAAGGTGGGAGGATTGCTTGAACCCAGGAGGTCGAGACTGCAGTTAGCAGTGATCATGCCACTGCACTCCAGCTTAGATGACAGGGTGAGGCCTTGTCTCAAGAAAAACAAAAAAAAAAAATTCACAGGCCAGGCATAGTGGCTGACGCTTGTAATCCCATCACTTTGGGAGGCTGAGGCCAGAGGATCACTTGAGGCCAGGAGTTTGAGACCAGCCAGGGCAGTATAGTGAGACTGCCGCCCAACCGCCCATCTCTATTTTTCAAAAAGAAAGAAAGAAAAACAGAGTGACTGAGCAGAGATTCAAAACTCAGTCCAAACCCACTGGTTTCCCTGTGCTCTTAACAACTGTATCATGCTGTCTATGGGTGATGCTCCCCAGCCAGCTAGAAAACACCTTCACTATAGGTGAAAAGTGGTGCTCACTGCACTGTGTTCAGGAAAAGTGTGTCCTGGAGAAACGCTTCATAAAGGTGGAGCTACCATTACCCCAATCCCCAACCCCAGGCTACACACACACACACACACACACACACACACACACACACACACAAAACCCATGTCCACAGTCTGCATGGGAACCTCCATCCCTAAATCCTACTAAACCAATAACTCTTTTTTTTTTTTTGAGACAAAGTCTCACTCTTGTCCCCCAGTCTGGAGTGCAGTGGCACGATCTCGGCTCACTGCGACCTCCGCCTCCCGGGTTCAAGCGATTCTCCTGTCTCAGCCTCCCGAGTACCTGGGATTACAGGTGCGTACCAACACACCCAGCTAATTTTTTGTATTTTAAGTAGAGATGGGGTTTCACCATGTTGGCCAGGCTGGTCTCGAACTCCTGACCTCAGGTGATCCACCCATCTCGGCCTCCCAAAGTGCTGGGATTACAGGTGTGAGCCACCGTGCCCGGCCACCAATAACTCTTTTTAAGACAAGAAATATTAAAGTAAAAACAATTCCTCTCCCTCCACTTCCCTTCTCCCAAGACTCTTCCTTCTGATAGCCATGTTTTCAGGCTCACCCCCAGCTCTGCCCTATTCAGAAACCAAAGGTCCTCATAAAAGTATTTGTAATAATGTGTGAATGACTCGTGAGCTTCAAATAACTGTCTCTGCAGCAAATGGCCAGCCTCCAAATAGAAGCTAGTTCAAGCCAGTTTCCTTGGCTCATTTCCCACCGCTATGTCAGGGATCAATTTAGACCATGGCCTCCCTCCCATTTTCTCTTCCCTGGCGGTACCATTCTTCTGGTCCTCCCACTCCCATCCCAAAACTGGTCCACTCAGTCCTCTCCTGTTCAGAGGCAGCCTTCATGACAGTGTCGGAGACCCTAAGGGTTAAATATACAGCAGTGGTTTAAAGTTTTACCTGTATTTACTCATTTGATCCTTAAAATAACCCTAAGAGACATGTATTATAATGGTCCTATTTCCAGATGAGAAATCTGAGATACAGAAAGGTTATGTAATCTGCCCAGGGACTCACAGCTAGTAAGTAGTACAGCTGGCATTGACACCCCGCACTCTCTGAACCACTATGCCACACAGGCATGGATGAGCAACCCTCACCAAGAGTCAGGTTCGAAGGGAATACATTCTCTTCCAACCATGCAACTGACTTCCTTACTTGTTCCATTGCCCCAGCCTAGAGACGAGATTCTCTAACTCCGACCTAGCTTCTTTCCCAACTCTGACTTTTTCTTCTTGCTCCACCCATCCTTAGCTCCGCCACAATGTCCCTCTCTTTCCATCACTTTTTTGGTCCTTGATAATATTTCCTTCGTAAGCAGATTTCTCCAAACCTCTACCCTGGGGAGCCCATTCTGGCATTCCACCTCCTAAACCCATGTTCCTGCAAAGTGTCTCTGTTGTCCTAGCCCTCCATGCCACAGCCATGGGTGCCCTTCGCCTGTTTCTTGACTCAAGCCAGGCAGGAGGAGGATCTTTATGAACAAGATCCCCCACCCCATATGTCTGCATTTAATTTCAGATCAGTTCCTAGGCCAAAGCTCTCTTCCAAACTCGTCAAGAGAAGTTTTAAATATATTCTCCCAGAGCAAATAATTTTGTGTTTTAACATGGGACAAAGCTCTAGAAACATCTCTGGGCTGGTGACTCTCCACTTGCCTGTCGGGAGCTAGCTTTGGCCCTTCTCCTGCAGCTCCTGCACCAGAAGGCTGACCCACAGGGACTCCAGGGACCCTCGCACCCTCTGGCTACAGTGAAAGACAATTTGGCCACTGAAAGTCATAGGTAGGAGATGAAGGTTCATGAGGAAAGCGAGGTTGGGGTATTTTCACCAGTTCCCTCCTAGCAGGCTGCAGGCTGCAGGCTGGGGTTGGGAGTAGCAGTGGCTTCTTTAGAGCAGTCGGCCCCCTCCTGCTGCAGGCCTCCCTCCCTTTTCCCCTCTCTGGGCGTGCTTCCCCATCCTCTACCCTGCTCAAGCCTCTATAAACAGCCCCTCCTTCAAACTCCCCACTGCCTTCCCAATCAAGATCCCCCTCCAGGCACCCTCAATAGTGGAGTTCAGACACAGCCACTGAGGACAAGCTCTCTGCAAGCCCTGGACACCAAAGTATTTTGGTGACCACTTCCTCCTAACCAGGCCTTGGTCGGTGGCTCCTTCACAAAATGACATCTGAGAAGAAACAGAAAGCCAAATGAGGATGTGGGTGGCCCTGCTCCTCCCCGGACACAGACCCATGCATCATGACAAGGCCACACATGCCCAGTCACAGGATTTGACACATGGGACCCCTGGGAGAAGGAGGAAACACCCACGGCTTACAAACCCGCAGCAAACCCAGAGTCCTCAGCCTAGGAAAGGGGCTGGGGACAGGGCCTGACACCCTGAAGTGCAAGGCCTGCCAACCTTGGAGCTGACGAGGGGAATAATTTTTTTAAAGATCCATTACTGTCAACTGCCCCCGGGAACACCCTTCTTTGCACCAACTCCCCTGCCTTTCAATATGAAGACAAGTCTGACGCCTACGTGGGGAACTCAAAGTCACACTTCCTCTGGCAGCCGTTGGTCAAACCGCTTTATAAATCTGCTAATGATTTTGTGTTATCCTGCTAGACTGACACTCGTTGGAAAAAAAAGTTACATAACTGGAAATGATTAGAAGATAAGGCTTTGAGCATCATGCTTGGAAATTTCACTGCTCTGCCCAATTTTGGGCTGAGTTTTAACAAACCAGCATTTCCTGGCTCCTGACACTGGGAAGCCTTGTAGGTGTGAGAATCTGCTTCCAGTTAATAGTAGACACTTTGGAACCAGGTTTGTCACATGAATATACCCTTGGTCCTCCCGTCAGTCAACTGGACTCTTCACCCTCCCCGCAAAAAATTTAAAAGCCACCCTTAGACATATCACCCTTAGGCATATCACCCTTAGACACACACAATTTCACACACATGTGAAACCCAGATGGCCAGTAAGCATATAGGTACTCGTAGGCTGGACATGGTGGTATCCACCTGCAGTCCCAGCTACTCTAGGAGGCTGGGATGGGAGGATTGCTTGAGCCCAGGAGATTGAGGTTCCAGTGAGCTATGATCGTACCACTGCGCTCCAGCCTAGGCAACAGAACAAAATCCTGTTATTTTATTTTATTTTTATTTTTTGAGACGGAGTCTCGCTCTGTCACCCAGGCTGGAGTGCAGCGGCACAATCTCGGCTCACTGCAAGCTCTGCCTCCCAGGTTGATGCCATCCTCCTGCCTCAGCCTCCCTAGTAGCTGGGTCTACAGGCGTCCGCCACCACACCTGGCTAATTTTTTTGTATTTTTTTAGTAGAGACGGGGTTTCACCGTGTTAGCCAGGATGGTCTCGATCTCCTGACCTTGTGATCCACCCACCTCGGCCTCCCAAAGCGCTGGGATTACAGGCGTGAGCCACCGCACCCGGCCAATCCTGTTTTTTCTTTTTTTGGTAAAAAAAAAAAAAAAAAAAAAAAACAAGGCCAGGTGCAGGGGGCTCGCATCTGTAATCCCAACACTTTGGGAGGCCGAGGTAGGAGAGTCACTTGAGGCCAGGAGTTCAAGACCAGCCTGGGTAACATAGCAAGATCCCACCTCTATAAAAAGAAAAATAAAAAAAGATATGTGCATTACACTGTATGTAAGTTAATGCTCTGTATACTGAACTCCTTAGAATGAAGTATACTGCTGTTCTCAACTTACTTTGAAATGTTTCCAAAAAAATACGATTGATGGAAGGATAGAAGGTTAGATATGCAATAAAACAAGTATAAGAAAATGTTAATGGCGGAATCTGATGATGGGTATATAAGTGTGCACTGTAATTCTTGCAACTCTTCAAATTTTTCATAATAAAATTCTGAAAAATTGCTAATTAAAAAGGTAAAGAGGCCAAGCACAGTGGGGCACACCTGTAATCTCAGCACCTTGGGAGGCCAAGGTGGGAGGATCATTTGAGCTGAGGAGTTCAAGATCAGCCTGGGCAACATGGTGAAACCTCATCTCTTCTAAAAAATACAAAATATTAGCTGGGCATGGTGGCATGCACATGTAGTCCCAGATACTCGGGAGGCTGAGGTGAGAGGATCATCACCTGAGCCCAGGAAGTGGAGGCTGCAGTGAGCCAAGATCACACCACTGCACTCCAGCGTGGACAACAGAGTGAGACACTGTCTCTAAAACATATATATATATATATATATATATATATATATTAAAGATAACACACACGCACAATGTGAGACCCCTACACGTTCACCCAAATGACTAAAATCTGTAAAACCAGCAATGGCACACACAGACAAGGATGTAGAACTATGAGAAGTCACAGACAGTGCCAGTGGGAGTGGAACACTATTTGGTAGTATTTCCCAAGAGTAAACATATGATACACATATTCTATGACCTAGCAATCCTACCCCTAGGTGAATACCCAACACAAATGAGAGCTTTCGTCCACCAAAAACATGTACGAGAATGTTCAAGGTAGCACTGTTCATAATAGTATGAAAGAACCCAAAGATCCAAGAGTAGGATAAATAATTGATGGTGTATTTATTCATAGGGTGACACACTACACAGCAATGAGAATGAACTACTGCCACCCATAATATAGGTGAATCTCACAAACAAGGTGTTAAGTGAGAAAAGCCAGATGCACCCCCCCCAACCTCCATCACCAAAAAGAATAACTTCTCTATGCTCAGTTTATGTAAAATTTAAAACCAAGCAAAATTATTACACAATCTAGAAGTCAAGATCGGGGTCACCTTTGGAAGAGAGTACTGACTTGGAGAGAAGGTTTCTTAGGTCCTGGGTAAGTTCCGTGTCTGACGTAGATGCTCATTACAAGAGTGTTCCCAGTTTATGAAAACGCATCAAACTATACACATGAAGTGTGACCTTTTTTTTTTTTTTTTTGAGACAGTGTCTCACTCTGTCGCCCAGGCTGAAGTGCAGTGGCACGATCTTGGCTCCCTGCAACCTCTGCCTCCCAGGCTCAAGTGATCCTCCCACCTCAGTCTCCTGAGTAGCTGGGACTACAGGTGCATGCCACCACACCTAGCTAATTTTTTTGTAGAGACAGGGTTTCCCCATATTGCCCAGGCTGGTCTTGAACTCCTGAGCTCAAGTAATCCAACCACCTCAGCCTCCTGAGTAGCTGGCACTACAGGTGCGTGCCACCACACCTAGCTAATTTCTTGTAGGGACAGGGTTTCCCCATATTGCCCAGGCTGGTCTTGAACTCCTGAGCTCAAGCGATCCACCCACCTCAGCCTCCCAAGGTGCTGGGATTACAGGCATGAGCGACCCTGTCTGGCCAGGTATGACCGTTCTTCTGTATGTAGGTTACACTTCAACTTAAAAAATTTACACTAAAAATTGTATTAAAAAAAAAGGTGGATCTTCAAGCAATTCGTAGAGATCTAGGGGGTATTTTTAATTGTTTCTCTTTGATTTTGTCCCTATTTCTACTGCCCATTTAAAACACAGATATTAAATAAAACAGTTACAGGACCATATAGAGCTAAAAGCGACTTCGAAGATCACCTAGTTTAATTCCTCTGTTTTACAGATGTTGAGAGCTGAGGCTGAGAAAGCTTAAGAGACTTGCCCAGGTTACCTAGCCAGGAAGAAGAAAGGCACCTAGAGCCTGTGAATCCCAGCTCCCTGTCTAGTGGTCTCTCCACGGCATACCAAACCTCTGTAATCTCACCATGACTGCCTGGGCTCACCCTTGCCACCAGGCAGATCACATCACAGGTGCGCAATATGACATTTTCCTCTAACTATAATATAGAAAGTTAAGGAAGTATGTGCTTTGCTTGTCGTTTATTTCAGGGATGGGTCTCACTATGTTGCCTAGGCTGAATAGCAGTGGCTTCACACAGGCAAAATCATAAAACACTAAAACCTCAAACTCCTGGCCTCAAGCAATCCTCCTACCTCAGCCTCCCAAGTAGCGGGAACTGCTGGCATGAGCCACCACACCTGGTCATAATATGGCTGTTTTTGACAGGATGCAGTAAGTTGGAAGCCATAGAAATTGAAACCATACACACACACACACACACACACACACACACACACACACAGACGAAGGCATGGCAGTATTTATTGGCTCATATAACTTGGAAGTTCAAGAGTGTCTGGCCTTCAGTTGCAGATGGATCCAAGCACTTGAACAAGGGTCGCGGCTCCGTTTTGTTTGTTTGTTTGCGGTTTTTGTTTGTTTTTTGCTAGCTTCATTCTCAGGTGCTTCCCAAGTATTACCAAAGATGGTCATGGCAGCTCCAAGTTTATAATCTTCCTAGCTTTAACAACCCCAGGGGAAGAAAGCATTTCTTTGCCAAACTATACAGCAAAAGGTCCTAGGGAGGGAAGAAGCTCATGAACCCAGCTTGGGTGACATGTCCATTTCTGGTTCACTGTAGTGAGAGGGATTTAGGAGAGGCCTGGTTCTAACCAAACTCAAACCAGCTCCAACCAATAGTTCACTCATTTTCCAATGAACCCACTGCATCTGTGGTTCCCCAAAGAAAAATGGAAGTGTCGTTACCAGAAGAAGGAGAATCAGAGACAACAGACCACAAATATCCACTACAGTAGGTGCCATCTTGTCCTCTGACTCGAGCACTGTAACAGGATTTTACCATGTCAACGGGAAAGGAAGGTCGCAGACTTTGAACTTGAGCTTCCTGCAGACTCACATTCCCACACATTTCAGCTGACTGCTCAACAGTTAATCTTGACAGATCTCAGTTGTTCCACTCAGTCATTAACTATTACATTTAAATCAAATATGCCCTCCAGCCCAAGCCAAAAAACATACAATGATGGATGATGAAGCCAAATGCAAATGTCCAGTTGCCAATCTGCCTTACAAAAACGCCTTCCCAGGCCGGGTGCGGTGGCTCATGCGTGTAATCCCAGCATTTTGGGAGGCCGAGGCGGGCGGATCATGAGGTCAGGAGATCGAGACCATCCTGGTTAACGCGGTGAAACCCCGTCTCTACTAAAAAACATACAAAAAATTAGCCAGGCGTGGTGGCGGGCGCCTGTATTTCCAGCTACTCAGGAGGCTGAGGCAGGAGAATGGCGTGAACCCGGGAGGCGGAGCCTGCAGTGAGCCGAGATTGTGCCACTGCACTCCAGCCTGGGCGACAGAGCAAGACTCCATCTCAAAAAAAAAAAAAAAAAAAAAATCGCCTTCCCAGAATGCTGGCAGAACCCTTCCGAAGGCTCCCAGTCTGAAGGTGCTAATATCGCCCAGGCACATGCTGGTCCCTCTGAGATAAACTGAAAGCAGTGACTTGGCTTGGGATTGTCCCTGCTCTGACAGCCCGGCCTGAAGAAGCAGCGCTGCCCAGTGTAAGAATCACACAGTCTGTGCTGAGAAGCTGGGCGGGCTTATTTCAGGGGGAAAAACATCACACTGAATCCTCTCTCTCTAGGAGGGAGCTGTATATTTTATGAATGGTGTGAACCACTCCTGGATGTTACTTCCTGAATTTATTTAAAGAATTTAATGTATCCTTCAAGTTTCCTGGGTCCCCCCTCCCACTCATTCTTGACAAGCACTCTGGGGGAGCTTGTATCTTTTGATTTTTTTAAAGAAGGAAAAAAATACCAAGGGATTGCCGAAGTCCCAGTTTGCTCCACGAGTCACTTTTTAAAAGTTTGATCTTTTCATGTCACTGGCTATTTACTGTGTTAAGTTTCCAGAGATGTATTAAGTGAGAAAAAACAGCCACATCTGATCAGTCCATATTTTTCTATGAATCAATAACTTGTCATAAAAGAAGAGCAGAAATTAGTTGCCTATTAAAAATGTTCAAATGCTAAGCTAAATAAGCCCATCACACGAGGGGAAGTATATGATTCCAATTATATGAGGTCCCTAGTATAGTCAAATTCATAGAGATAGAAAGGACAATGGAGTTACCAGGGGCTGGCGGGGAGAGGGAATGGGGAGTGACTGTTTACTGGGTTCAGAGTTTCAGTTTTGCAAAATGAAAAAGGCTCTGGGGCTAAATCATGGTGAAGGCTGTACAACAATGTGATGTGCTTAATACTGAACTATAGACTTCCAATGGTTAAGATGGTAAATTTTGTTATATGTGATTTATCATAGTTTAAAAAATAAATGTAAAAAGGACAACAAAAAAATATTTTAGAAACAGGCCAGACACGATGGCTCAGAAACCCTGTCTCTACAAAGAAAAAAAAATTATTTTTCTTTGTAGAGACTGGGTCTTACTCTGTCACCCAGGCTGGACTGCAGTCGCGTGATCTCGGCTCACTGCAACCTCTGCCTCCCGGGTTCGAGCTATTCTCCTGCCTCAGCCTCCTGAGGAGCTGGGATTACAGGCATGCGCCAACACGCCCGCTAATTTTTGTATTTTTTTAGTAGAGACGGGGTGCGGGGGAGTGGTTTCACCATGTTGGCCAGGCTGGTTTTGGAACTCCTGACCTCCAGTGATCCGCTTGCCTCGGCCTCCCAAAGTGTTGGGATTACAGGCACGAGCCACCAGGCTGGGCCAAAAAATTTTTAATTTAAAAAAAAAAAAAAGAAAGGGAAACATAGATTGGAATAAGATTTAAAGAAATCAAAATATCTGGCTACAAAAATGCTTGAGAGAGAAATACAGATTAAAGTTGAAAGAAATAAAAAGGCATCTAACATATTTTAAATTAGTACCTCCTGAATATTGTCTGTTCTTTATCACTCCTGCATCTTACCTCAGCTCTTCCACCTGGGTTGGGGGATAGGGCCATACTTTGAGTGCTGACAAGCTCTTGGTTCCAATCCATCCTTGGCATTCCCATTCTCCCAGCAAGCCCCCAAGACTTTCCCCATGGGGCGGCTTTACCCTGAGGGTTAGAGCTCATGTTGAGTTACAGAGACCTGGGATACATACCTCTTTCTATCTGGGTGCCCTTAGGTCAGTTACTCCAGTCCTCACCTGTCAAATGAACAAATTCAAAGCACTTTGCTCATGGAGTGAGGATTACATTAGAGAACGCAGATAACGTGCTCACTTATTAGCACACTGTCTGGTGCAAAGAAACCGCTTGGGACATGACAGCTGTCATTAACAATCCCCCAGGCTCCCATGAGGCCCCAGCTCAGATTTCTCAGTTTCTCACCTTTGACTGCCCCTTACAGTCACCTGGGGAGCTTCACCTGGTCTGACGTCATCAGTCTGGCTGTGGTCTGGGCCTCCCTGCCCCGTTAATTTTGCACTGTGCAGCCAGGATTAGGAATATGGCCATGGACTGGGCGCGGTGGCTCACGTCTATAATCCCAGCACTTTGGGAGGCCGAGGCGGGCAGATCACAAGGTCAAGAGATCGAGACCATCCCTGGCAAACGTGGTGAAACCCCATTTCTACTAAAAATACAAAAATTAGCGGGGCTTGGTGGTGCGCGCTTGTAGTCCCAGCTACTCAGGAGGCTGAGGCAGGAGAATCGCTTGAACCCGGGAGGCAGAGGTTGCAGTGAGCCGAGTTCACGCCACTGCACTCCAGCCTAGCGACAAAGTGAGACTCTGTCTCAAAAAAAAAAAAAAAGAAATATGGCCATGACTGGACTTTCTCTTCAGAGAAAATTGTCCTAGAAAAGGTTTAACTAGCCAGGTGTGGTGGTGTGAACCTATAGTCCAAGCTACTAGGGAGGCTGAGCAGGAGGAGGACTGCTTGAGCCTAGGAGTTCAAGGTGGCAGTGAGCCATGATCATACCTGTGAATAGCCGCTGCACTCCAATTTGGGCAACATAGCAAAACCTCATCTCTCTTTAAAAATGAAAAAAAAAAGAAAAGAAAAAGAAGCCAGACATAATGGCTCACACCTATAATCTCAGCACTTTGGGAGACTGAAGCAGAAGGATTGCTTGAGTCCAGGAGTTCAAGACAAGACTGGGCAACATGGTGAGATCCTGTCTCTAAAAATAATAATGAAAAAAGGAAAAAAAAAAAAAAAAAAGGCTGGGCGCAGTGGCTCACGCCTGTAATCCCAGCACTGTGGGAGGCCAAGGCAGGCGGATCACCTGAGGTCAGGAGTTCGAGACCAGCCTGGCCAACATGGTGAAACCTCGTCTCTACTAAAAATACAAAAAATTAGCTGGGCGTGGTGGCGAGCGCCTGTAGTCCCAGCACTTTGGGAAGCTGAGGCAGGCGGATCACAAGGTCAGGAGATCGAGATCATCCTGGCTAACACAGTGAAACCCCGTCTCTACTAAAAAATACAAAAAAAAAAAAAATAGCTGGGTGTGGTGGCGGGTGCCTGTAGTCCCAGCTACTCGGGACCCTGAGGCAGGAGAATGACGTGAACCCGGGAGGCAGAGCTTGCAGTGAGCAGAAATCACACCACTGCACTCCAGCCTGTGCGACAGAGCGAGATTCCTTCTCAAAAAAAAAAAAAAAAAAAAGAAAACAAAAGAAAAGTTTAACTCTTCATGCCCTAGAGATGTACCATGATTTCATCTTGCTGCTTCTCAAACAGAAAAGGAGCCTAGCACATGTGCTGCTATGGGAGCTTTTGTTTCAACTTGACTAAGGAGTTCTTGTGGCACCAGCTTGGTGCCCTCATCGATCTCTACCTCCTCTTCTTTACTTAGCAATGCCTTTTATGCATCAATTTCTACAGATTGCTCATTAGGCAGGCAAGCTTCGTCCAATGGTTGAAAAACATTGGCTTTTGCCAAGAGTGTCTTTAAAAAGTCAAGCCTTTCTTTTCCCTCTGGACATTTTAAAATAAAACTGCACCCCCAAAGTAAATGTAAGCAGAGGACCCACTGCTTGCATTTTTACACCATACTTACCCCTCCTATATAGAGGCTCCCCTACTCCAGCCTCCCACCCTGCAGCTCCCAAGGGGGCATGAGACTTGAGGCTCCCCTGGAGGAAAGCCAGTGGCTCTCAGGATCTGGAAACGGGACACTTGTGTGCACTGATTCAGACATCCTTTCACCTTGCCCCATCCAAAGGCAACACCCAGAGGGTCCCACCCAGGCCTCAGGATGCCTCCCTATTACACAGGAAGGTCATTCTGTCCTTGGTCGGCCTCGCAGAGGTCTCAGAGCAAAAGGCACCAGGAACCCAGGACTCCTGGCTTTCTTTTTCTTTTTCTTTTTTTTTTTTTTCTTTTTCTTTTGTTAGAGACAAGGTCTCACTCTGTCATCCAGGCTGAAGGGCAGTGGGGCAATCCTAGCTCACTGCAGCCTCAAGCTCCTGAGCTTCAAGAGATCCTCCTGCCTCAGCCTCCCAAGTGGCTGGGACTACAGGCACACATCACCATGCCCAGCTAATTTTTTAATTTTTAGTAGAGACAGGGTCTCACTACGTTGCCCAGGCTGGTCTCGAACTCCTGGCCTAAGCAATCCTACCACTTCAGCCTCCCAAAGTGGTGAGATTGCAGGCGTGAGTCACCACACCAGGTGACTTTCCACACCAGCTCCTTTCCAGGGGATGGGGGCCCCAAGGGACCTCCTTCAACTCACTCCCAAGGAGAACTCCAATTTGATAAACAGGCATCAGAGTTTGCAAATACCAAGTTAGGAAAATATCCTTCACTTTCTCTAGTTTTCTTCCTTTAGCTTTTCAATGAAATATGTATTGATGCTTTCCTTTTATAATGTATTACATTCTTCTGACCACAGAAAATCCAAACAAGAAACTAAACCATCATTAACCTCTCAATGAATCTTCCTCCAGACTTTCTTTTATGTGCACACACACATTTTGTCGTTGTTGGTTTTACAAATTTGGAATTTTGTTATACATGGTATTTTGCAGCCTTTACTTACTATGAACTAATTTTTTAAGTAAAAATTTTCCCTATTCTGCTTAGTCAGTGAAAATACAAGATGATAAAAACAATTTCAAGCACTCTTGTGTTTGCAAAATAAGGAACTCATAACTGATTTAAAAAGACCAGCATATTGATAAAGCCAGGACCTACGTTTCCATGAGCTAGGCCTTGGGACAGCCCCCGCAGGCACATTCGATCAAAGGCTCCAGAGATCCCCAAAAGTCTATCACTTGTCCTTTCACGAGCTGATGGGTGGAGACCCTGCTCTGGGACTTCACTCTGCCACTACCTGCCATGTGGCCTTCTAGTTATTTCTAACTTGACTAAACCAATCTACTATTTCCATTTGTCTTTTTTTTTTTTTTTTTTTTTTTTTTTTTTGAGACAGAGTTTCACTCTCGTTGCCCAGGCTGGAGTGCAATGGTGTGATCTCGGCTCACCGCAACCTCCACCGCCTGGGTTCAAGCGATCCTCCTGCCTCAGCCTCCCGAGTAGCTGGGATTACAGGCATGCACCACCACGCCCGGCTAATTTTGTGTTTTTAGTAGAGACAGGGTTTCTCCATGTTGGTCAGGCTGTTCTCGAACTCCTGACCTCAGGTGATCCATCCGCCTCCCAGAGTGCTGGGATTACAGGCATGAGCCACCACGCCCAGCCTCCGCTTGTCTATTTCTAACTTGTTTAAAGTTATATCTGTAAACTTCGGTTTTCTCATAGCTAGAGTAGGACATGAAAAAAATATAAACCTCACGTGGGTGTCAAAAAGATTAAGGAGAGAATGGGCTGGGCTGTAAGGGCCGGTTACTGAGCCTGGGGTGAGATGGTGGCTTGGCTCATATCCCCTTCGTAAGATTTCAACCTGTTTAGAGGGCATTGGCCCTATAACCAAGCATGTCATCTTCTTCTGCCACCTTTGAGAAGAGTCATCGAACACAGGCACTTGTGCAAACATTGCGAAGGTCTTTTTTTTCTTTTTTTTTCTGTGTCTTTTTTTAGAGACAGGGTCTCAATATGTTTTGTTTTGAGACAAGGTCTCGCTCTGTCACCCAGGCTGGAGTGCAGCGGCACAATCACAGCCCACAGGAGCCGACACCTTCTGGGCTCAGGTGATCCTCCCACCTGGGCCTCCCGAGTAGCTGGGACTACAGGCATGCACCACCATGCCTGGCTGACATTTGTATTTTTTGTAGAGACGGGATTTTGTCATGTTGCGCAGGCTGGTCTTGAACTCCTGGGCTCAAGCCACCTGCCCACCTCAGCCTCCCAGAGTGCTGGGATTACAGGTGTGAGCCTCTGCACCTGGCCTCTCACTACATCATGTTGCCCAGGTTGATGGACTCTAACTTCTGGGCTCAAGGTACTCCCACCTCTCAGCTTCCAAGCAGCTGGGATTACAGGCTCAATTCTTTGCCATGGTACTTTTAATAGCAAAAAGAAAAAATTAGAAGCACTTTAAATATCCATCAACTAAGGAACGGAAAATAAAGTATGCTACATCCATACTATAGAATACCACACAGTTTTTATAAATAACCACTGATGTATATGTGCTAACAAAAAAAAATAACTTCAAGATACATTATCAAGTGAGAAAAAAAAGAAGTTAAGAAATAATAGCTTGGTTTTCTTTATTTAAAAGAACTAAACCCACAAATCATCAGAGTATCTTTCCACAGAGGCCTAGGGAAGTAGTTGAAGGTGGCTTTAGAATAATTCTGGGTTTTTCAACCTTTTTTCATTACTGCCCTCTCTAAGGAGCCTTTTAAGATATTTCTTTCCTAATCACTCCCCCACTACCATGAAATTTTAATACCACAGTCAGGCTGTATGTCTGTTTACGTACTGTGGACCGCTGGAGAGCCACAAACCGCTGTAGGCCCTAGGATGTTGTTAGCACCTCAGAACCCATTTCTTCCCCCTGCAGGGTGATATTGCCCCTAGTGAGGATGTATGGTCTAATTTGTATATTAATTGTGTGGTTAAAAAATTAATAATTAGGCTGGGCACGGTGGCTCATGCCTGTAATCCCAGCACTTTGGGAGGCTGAGGCGGGCGGATCACAAGGTCAGGAGTTTGAGACCAGCCTGGCCAACATGGTGAAACACCATCTCTACTAAAAATACAAAATTAGCCAGGCATGGTGGCATGCACCTGTAATCCCAGCTACTTGGGAGGCTGAGACAGGAGAATCACTTGAACATGGGAGGCAGAGCTTGCAGTGAGCCGAGATCACGCCACTGCACTCCAGCGTGGGCGACAGAGTGAGACTCCATCTCAAAAAAAAAAAAAAAATTAGTAATTAGGCCAGGTGCAGTGGCTCACGCCTGTAATCCAGCACTTTGGGAGGCCGAGGCAGGCAGATCACAATGTCAGGAGTTTGAGATCAGCCTGGCCAACATGGTGAAACCCTGTCTCTACTAAAAATACAAAATAGCCAGGCATGGTGGCGCGCACCTGTAATCCCCGCTACTCTGAAGCAGGAGAATCACTTGAACCCAGGAGGCAGAAGTTGCAGTGAGCCAAGATCATGTCATTGCACTCCAGCCTGGGCAACAAGAGCAAGACTTCGACTCAAAAAAAAAAATTAATTAATAATTTTAAAAGTTCACATTTACACTCAGCACAATGTAAAACCTTGTAGACAGTACCTCCTTCCCTAAAACTTCTTGTGGGTTAAGCCTGCCAGTGAAGTCTGGGTGGGGTTACGGACAGGCAAACACAGCCATGCTACAGTTTATGCTGTTTGTAATGAAACAGATGCTAACAACACCAGGAAGGGTGCGTCATCCCTGAGGCTTTGACCATATCTCAGATGGTCCCTGATGGTTTTCCATTCCTTGAGAGCTGCAGATAAGGTCAATGTCCCGATGACTCCATGGCTGCCTTCACTGAACCCAGGGAGAACTGTCTGGTTTCCTGGTTTTCCGCCCACTCTTTGGTTGCTCCTTCTCCTTTACAGTTGGCTTGCTCTGCCCAGTCCTCTTAATTTGGGGTGCCTCCAGGCCCCATCCCCAGACCTCTTCTCCATCCACCCCACTCCTTAGGTGATCTCATCCAGTACAGCGGCTTGAAGACTATCTACGCCATAACGACTTCAAATTTATACCTACCTTGAATTAAGAGTCCTCTTTCCAAATGCCTACTCACTATCATTACTTGAACATATATAGGAATCTCAAACTTAACTCTTGATTTCCTCCCCAAACCTGCTGCTTCCGTTCCTCACCTTCTCATTTCAAACCAGCTCCTTCCTCCCATTTGCTTATGCCAAAAACCTTGAAACTCGCTTTGAGTTCTCTCTCAAACCTTATACGTGCAACCCATTACCAAATCCCATTGGTCTCGCTCTCAAAATACATCCAAAATCCAGTGGTGACAGCCATGTCACAGCCAGCATCAGCTCTTGCTTATATTACTGCAATAACCACCTTACTTGTCTCCCTCCTTCTACCCTCTGCTCCCCCCTCCATCCCCCCATCATTCATTCCCAAGAGAGCAGCAGAGTGATCCTTGTAAACATCCAGCTGGCTCAAGTCACTCCTCTGCTCAATGGCTCCCCTGACACTCAGGGTAAATGTCAGATCCTTGTGAGGGTCTCAAAAGCCCTCGTGCTTTGGCCCCACCCACCCCTCAGTCTGGTCACCTCTCTGTCCCCATCTCCAACACTCCCCACACCACACACACTCACTCTGCCCCAGCCACACTGACCTCCTTGCTGTTCCCTGACCACTCCAGGAATGCTCTGGCCTCAGGGCCTTTGCACATGCTGTTCTGTTTTCTGGCTGGAATGCTCTTCTCTCAGCAATCCACGTGCTTACTCCATCGTATCTTCCAGGGCTTTGCACAGATGCCCTCTCCTAATGAGACCTTCTCTGCCCATCCCATTTAAAATGACACATTTTCTAGATCACCATGCAGTTTGCTTAGTTTTCCTTGCTATCTGTCACCCCTAACTAAAATGTAAACTCTATAAAGTCAGGATGTCTGTGGTTTTACTACTACTACATCTCCTACTTTCCAGGTTGTGCCCTGCACACGGCTGGCACTGAACGAGCGTTTGTTCAGTGAATGAGCCCCGTATCTTGTTAATCTGCTGAAAGGTTCCAATGAGAAAGAAAGTGGCCTTTTAAACTTACATCTTCTGCCCAGCAGCTCTGTCACCTCGGAGGTGGTCTCTGAGCTTAGAAGTATCCCTCTGCCACACATAAATACCATCACAGATCCCTGAACAACTCAAAGGCCAGCTGGCACTTTCTGTGGCTGAGCCAGCGAACCACTGGGATCAATTGTCTTCTAAGCTCAGCAATTTGCCTAAGTCCCAGCCAAGGGCAAAAGTCCTCCTAACTCCCAGGCACCATTTCTCTCTCTGTAGCTTCACTTGAGCCGCAAAGAATCCAGGATCCCTCAAGCTCTGAGTTCCATTCATGGAAAATCCTAAAACTTCCTTCATCCCTTCAGTCAGAATCTTTTCCTCTTTTGGTTTGGAAGAAACCCAGAGGTGTTAAAACTGAACATCTTGACCGAATTTCCTCCGGGCAAGCTTTCCCCAAGCTCGCTTACTCCAACACACCAGCCCCTCCTGCCAGACCCAGTCAGAGCCAGACTTTTGAGTAACTTGGTCCAAGCAGGGCTCTGACAGCGAACCCAGAACCCCATTCACAGCTGGCTCCCTGCCTGTCACCAAGAATAGCTCCTTAAATCAGGTCTTCGGGTAACAAATGAGGAACACATCAATTTAGCAGGAAATCGGCTTCCCTTGAAGCGTCTCTGAAGTTTGTTGAGACAAAAGGAATCTACAGTGCTTGAGTAATAGGAAAGACCACCTGCAACTTTTACAGAACTTCTTTTGGACTTGAAAATTCTAAGACGCTAGGGGGAAGAAATCTCGAAAATGAACAAGATCCAAATGCATAAGGATTCATTTCCCATCTCCCTAAATAATCACAGCCACATGCTTCTTATCTGCCATAAAAACCAGGCAGTCCGTGTAAGGGACGGGTGAAGCAGTGAAGAACGCTGGTCCTAAGCAGTGTTGAAACCTCTGATTGGTTGTGTGTCCTGAGCAAATTCTTTGACCTCTCTGAGCCTTTATCTGAGAAATGGAATCCACCTCGCCAGGCTGTTGATAAGATTACATGAGAAATCCTGCATGAAAGCCCTCTGTAACCGCTATAGGACTAAACAAGTGACGTTTCAACACACACAGGAAATGCCACTTAAGTTCAGAACTCTCTGAGGGGCACCAGGAGCAAGCACAAAAATAAAAGACTGTCATCACTTTTGTCTTCAAGAAGCTTCAAGTTCAGCTGGGAAAACAGCACACACAGGACAGCGGATGATCTAGCATTCGCAAAAGCAACATACTAAGAAAAGCATACACCTCCATCTGCTGCTTTCCCCTAAGTGTCCCTCGGGTCTGCTTGTTTGGATTCTAATATCTGCCTAACTACCCATCAATCTGGCTACTTCCTGGACTGCAAAAGACCTCAAAGCTATGTGTAAAAGAAGTCTCTAAATCTAAGCCAGATAGGATGGCCTGCCATGGCAGCCCTCATTCCACTCCTCAGGTCCAGTCCTGGTTGACTTCACCTCATCACCCACCAGCCAGTGCAGCTAACCTCCTTCCTCTGCCGCATGTCCGGCCCTGCCCAAGGATTCCCCAGGGGGCAGCCAATCATCTTGTTCACCTCCAGCACAGCACTGTGCATAACACTCTGTATTGCTCTCAACTTTGCCCCCAGGCCAGCTGAAAGCAGAGGAAAGAAGAAAGGAAAACAGAATTCAAATGGAGCAATTAGCAAAAGGAGAAATGAGGAAGCAGATTAAAAAAAAAGAAGAAGAAAAAAAAAGAAACAGAAAGGGAGACAATCAAAGAAAAAATGAGGAACATACAGAACTATCACTTGACATCTGACTTTATAGCTTAGGAAGGGCTTAACCTCACATTCTGTGGCTTGCGCCTCTTACAACATTCTGCAGGGCTGAGTAAGCAAGGCAGGGAATTTTACACCCATTTAGGAAATGAGCAAACTAAGGCTTGACAGACTTTAATGAAGCGCTTTGTAGCCAGAGCCCCTCACTGCCTACCTTCTTATTTCTCAAGTGCCTTTTCCATTGCCAGTAACCCATGCAGTCTCAACAAAAGACTAAAGATTCAGCATCTGGAGGCAGAACTGAAGACCAGAAAAAGAAGTGGATGGTGTTATTCACAACAGCCAAAACATGGGAACTAGCCAAGTGTCCATCAACTGATGGATGGATAAACAAATGTGGTATATCCATGCAATGGAGTATTATTCAGTCATGAAAAGCAATGAAGTACTGATACACGTCACTACGCAAATGAACCCTGAAGACATCATGTCAACGGAAATAAACCAAATACGAAGTCCACCCATTCTGATTCCATTTCTGTGAAACACCTAGAATAGGCAGATGCATAGAACCAGAAAACAGATGAGTGGTCGCCTGATGCTGGGGGCGGGCGAAGGGAGGAGAATGGGGAGTGGCTGCTTAATGAGTATGGGTTACTTTCGGGATGATGAAACTTCTGGAACTGGATAATGGTGGTGGCTGTATAACACTGTGAATGTACCAAATGCCACTGAACATTAAAATGGTGAATTTCATGTTATGTGAATTTTAACACAACTTTTTTTAAAAGTAGAAGGGGAGGCGGGGAAGAGGGAGAGAAAAAAAATGAAGAGAAGGAGGAATGATTCCTAGGTAAGTAATGAGTTTCCCGAAATCAGGGACCCGAGGAGCTCTGAGGTATAAAAAGAGACCCTCTCTCGGCCAGGCGCGGTGGCTCACGCCTATAATTCCAGCACTTTGGTAGGCAGAGATGGGCGGATCACAAGGTCAGGAGATCAAGACCATCCTGGCTAACACGGTGAAACCCCGTCTCTACTAAAAATACAAAAAATTAGCCGGGTGTGGCAGCGGGTGCCAGTAGTCCCAGCTACTGGGGAGGCTGAGGCAAGAGAATGGCGTGAATGCGGGAGGGGGAGCTTGTAGTGAGCCGAGATCGTGCCACTGCACTGCAGCCTGGGGGACAGAGCTAGACTCCGTCTCAAAAAAAAAAGAAAAAAAAAGAGACCCTCTCTCCTTTTATACTGAGGAGGTAACATAATGCTGGGTTTGCCCTTCATGGGGGTGGGAGGTGGCTGCAGACCCAAAGAACCAGCAGCAGCAGCCTGGAAAGGGAACAGAGCCATGAGCACAGGGAGACGGTGGAGGGATGAAGCTGACATCTTCACAGGAAAACCAGCTGATCTCTCCCTGAAGATCTCCTTGGTGTGTACTCACCTGTCCTTTATACTGGCTGAACTGTTCATTCCCACATATGAATAAGTGAATAACATGAGTAAGTGCCCAACCCTGGGCCAGGCACTGTCATAGGCGTTTCAGGACACTAATGATGGAATCCCTGGCCTCATTAAGCAAACCCTCTGGAGGGTGACAACGTTCAAACTCATAGGCTGCTAGGACTTAGTGTAATATAGTCTGTGGCTCAATTCACCCAGTGTAAACAAAAGCTAATAAAGGAATCTTTCTTCTCTGATTTTTAACACATGTTAATCACATTTGGGGACTGAGTAGAGATTAGAGGGATATAGGGGATGCAGTCTGTAGAACAAACAGCAACTCACCTTGCAGGGTGAGCACTAAACAGAGACCTGGATGCAGAAAACCAGCTATTTTAATTAAAAATTCTGGCCAGGCGCGGTGGCTCACATCTATAATCCCAGCACTCTGGGAGGCCGAGACGGGCGGATCACGAGGTCAGGAGATGGAGACCATCCTGGCTAACATGGTGAAACCCCGTCTCTACTAAAAATACAAAAAATTAGCCGGGCGCAGTGGCGGGCGCCTGTAGTCCCAGCTACTCGGGAGGCCGAGGCAGGAGAATGGCGTGAACCCAGGAGGCGGAGCTTGCAGTGAGCTGAGATCGCACCACTGCACTCCAGCCTGGGCGGCAGAGCGAGACTCCGTATCAAAAAAAATAATTAAAAAAAATAAAAAACAATTCTGGATTGAAGCCCAGAGTGAGGAATTTGACTTCAGGCCCCAGGTTCAGACAGAATTCTTCCAAAAGACACGTGCCAGTGCCTTCACGGGCTTTGACCTGATGCAGCTCTGCCCTCATGCAGCTCACATTCCTTTCTCTGAGACAGGGTCTCACTCTGTCACCCAGGCTGGAGTGCAGTGGCACAATCACAGCTCACTGCAGCCTCGGCCTCCTGGACTCAAGCGATACTCCCACATTAGACTTCCGAGTAGCTGGGACCACACGTGCATGCCACCACGCCTGGCTAATTTTTTATTTTCTATAGAGATGGGGGTCTCACTATGTTGCCCAGGCTGGTCTCGAAATCCTGGGCTCAAGTGATGCTCCTGCCTCGGCCTCCCAAAGTGTTGGGATTATGGGCACGAGCCACCACGCGCGGCCTGGAGTTCACATTCTAATGATAATAAGGTAAAGAAGTGAACTATATAACCCTTCAGCTAGGAATACATGTTAGTAAGAAAAATGGGACAAGCAAACTGTCCCTAGGTCCCTATGTTTTTTCAAGGTTTTGATCCCATGTGGAACTATGTAAATAAGTTGCCTACCCAAGCCCAGGGTAAGGGGCTTGTGTGAGTTTGCTGGGGCTGCCACAAAAAAGAATCATAGACTGGGTGGCTTAAACCACTGAAATTTATTTCCTCACAGTTCTAGAAGCTGGGAATCCAAGCTCAAGGTTGCTTGTAAGGCTTCTCCCCACTGGCTTACAAACAGCCGTCTTCTCCCTATGTCTTCACACGGTTTTCCCTCTGTGTGTATCTGTGTCCTCATTTCCCTTTCTTAAAAGGACACCAGTCATACAGGATGAGGGCCCACCCTAATGACCGCATTTTATTTAGTTAGTTAGTTAGTTAGTTAGTTATTTTCCTTGACCTACAACAGTGTGGTCAAAAATTCTTTTTCTTTTTATTTGTACTTTGTAGAGCCAAGGTCTCACCATGTTGCCCAGGCTTGTCTTCAACTCCTGGCCTTAAGTGATCCTCCTGTCTTGGCCTCCCAAAGGGTTAGGATTACAGGCATGAGCTACTACAGCTGGCCATGCATTTTAACTTACCTCTTTAAAGACTCTTTCTCCACATGCAGTCACATTCTGAGGTACTAGGGGTTGGGACTTCAAATACGAGTGGGGAGTGGGTCCAAACTCAGCCCATGGTATTCTTGAGCACTCCCACAGCCCTGACTGTCCCCTGGGGCCCCTCACTGTGCTGGGCACATCCCCGTTATCACTCGGTCTGGTTCCCCACGGACAATGAACCCTCTGATCCTAGGGACCCCTGAGTCCTGTCCACTCCATCTCATTCTCGGCTATATCCCAGGGTTGAGAACACACCTCGAGCCTTAGAGGGGCTTAACTGAAGGCAGGGAAGGATGAAGGAGGCAACAGAGCTCTTACTGCAAATGATTAAAGCTTGTCTGGGCCAAGAATTCCAACAGCTTTCCTAATCGGATAGCAGGGACAGGGAGGAGGTCTTAGGAGGAGGCCTCAGAAGCAACTTCAAAGAGGCCAGAGGAGAAAGGATGACCACAGCAGAGAGGTGAGGGGTTAGACCAAGCCACCTGGTTGAGTCGGGACAGCTGGGTGCAAGAGCTGGGGAGAGACTCCCCCACTCTCCTCCCTGCACAGCGTCTCTTAGCACCGCTTGCATTCATCACCCGTAAACTTCAAATCCCGTACACAGCCACCATCACCTTCAAAATCCTTCCAGTCATCCTCAAAATCCTTCTAGTCACCCTGAATGGGCAGCAGAATGGGTGTCACCACCCTTTTGACAGCTGAAAAAACTGAAGGTCAGAGATCTTACATGAACATTGCAAGGCCAAAGAGCCAATAACTCTGTGGAAGGGGTGTTGGAAGGTACCGTAGTTAAAACCCAGGGCCCTCAGCTACACCCAGCTGTCCCTGCAGCAGCCCTACTGAGAAGGAGATGAGGAGAGAGGACCACTCCAAGCATCCAGCTGCCTTTCACTTGCCAATCCTGGGAGTCCTGGCCTGGGGCTCAATGGCCTTGTTCTCCAGGAGCCAGTGGCCTTCCCTTAATAGTCAGCACTCCAAGATGACCTGGCTATACTCCTTCTAACCTTGGCCGTCCGTGACCCCAAGCTGGTTAAGCCGTGAGCCAAAATCAGACAAGATGTCCCCAGTTCTTAAGGCAAGCTCTCCCTTTATCCTCTTTGATTCACCCATCCAGTCATCAAATACTTACTGAGCCAGACTTCAGAGACACCAAGCACCATGCCAGACCAGAGTAGTTACAAAAGTTTAGGAAGTGGCGTTCCTGGCCCTGCAGAGCTCAGAGTGTAATGGAGGAAACAGTCAAATAAATAAGGCATCGCAGTCCCATGTGGTTGGTGCCATCCCAGCAGGAGATCCCCATGCAAGCCAGCAGAAGAAAGGACTCTGCCTGGGGGAGAGCAAAGGCCACACAGAGGAAGGGGTCCATGGGCTGGATCTTGATAAAAGATCATCATTCCCTCGACAGGGATGAGAAGGGCCTCTAGACAGAAGCTGCAGCCGAGCAAAGGCACAGAGGTGTCAGGTTGCTTCCCGCTCCCCAGGAGAGGGAAAGTAAGGAGGCTGGAGAAGGAGTGAGGCCAGGTGCAGTTTGTACAGGGTCCATATTTGTGCAAGGTCCAGATGAGGAGTGTCTTGACACTTCAAGCAATGGGGAGCCAGTGGAGATCAGGTGTGGAGAGGATGCTGCTGACGCCATGTGTGGGGTCCCTGGCTCGGTGGAAACCCAAGAGATATTTACTAAGGACCAGGTTAATGGAGACTGTGTCTGCTCCTATGGAGGTGTTACCTTCTCACTGCTGCCCTCCAGCCTTCTCAGATGGAGTATAGCCTCTAAGCATGACTGCTGCTCTTCTCCCCAGACCACAAGCCATAGAAAGCCAAGTACAGGTGACTGCATGATTATCAATCATGTCAGCTGCCTGTCTGCACCGTAACCCTTTCCAACTTGGCTGCATCTCACATCAGTCCTCATTTGCAAGAGACTTGCAGCTGTAGCTGAATATATATATAGTCTTGATGATTTGCAGTGAAGCATAATTTACACCTTCTACTGCTTCTCAGAGAAATCATTTCCCCAAGACTAATAATAAAGCAGACCAGCCACCCAGAGTAACAAAGCCCCCCAACTACCTCAACACGCAATTCAGAAACAAACCAGAACACCGGCCGCATTAGGTCAGCACTGGCGCCATTAGGCACCTCCGAGAGCAAAGCTGACAGGCAGGGAAGGAATGTCAGCATTTAGCATCACATAACACTGGGTTTTCAAACTGGGTCCTACAGAGCCGGAGGGATTCCTGGAGGGAGTGATCCAGAGCCTGAGTCACAGTCCCCTGGGAGTGTATGTGGCAGAATGAGCAGCTGCTTTATCCAGGCCCCTGAAGCAAGCACCAGGGCTGGGAGATGGGGGATTCCAGGCAAGCTCAGCTCCCCTGCCTCTCCCATTCAGCAATGCCAAGAAGTATCGCTGGCTTCTTGGACCAGGACGAAGGGCTTAGGCCAGAGATGGTTCTGTGGTGCCCGTGGAATGCTTGGCAATGCCTTGGCAAGTCCATACCAACATCTCCCAAACTCGCCGCCCCCACCCCCACACTCTCTGAATGACTCCACATAGAGGACTCTGCATAGATGAGGAAGGAGTCTGGCTTCATGTCCACTCCGGCTATTTTCTCCCAGGTGAGGCAGAAGAAGCCCATCTGAAATTCTAAACCCTATCAGGATCTGACAGCCACGCCCACCACAGGGCTCCAGAAAACCATACACGGAGCCTGTCTCATACCTCTCCTGTGAACATCCCTAAACCCCAGCTCACTGTCTCTCCCAGCACACATTCTAATCAGCATGCATTAGTAATCTGGCTAGAGGGACAGGCAAATCTTTGAAAGAGCTTCACCACCAACTCAACTCCCCTCCCTCCCCCACCACCTTTTTTTTTTTTTTTTTTTTTTTTTTTTTTTGCTGATGAGCAAAAATTGCCTCCTCTTTTCAAAGCAAGAAGTCATCAGAAACAGGAAGATCTCTGCCCTCTTCCCTGTGTGGGCTGTCACGGCAGACAGCGGAGGGCTTTTCTTTGTTCGCTGGTTAACAGAGGGAATTAGAGAAAAAAGGTGAGCAGAGAGAGCCCTACAACCACCACCTTGGAGGATCCGATTATACGGCCAGGACAGACAGGTGCTGGGGCACAGAAAGAGCTCAAAAACTGTAGTCGACTGGCTGAGAGAACCAATGTCCCCTCTGCCATGTCACAAGACACATCAACTTGAAAACATCTGGCCAGGCACGGTGGCTCATGCCTGTAATCCCAGCAGTTTGCAAGGCTGAGGTGGGCGGATCACCTGAGGTCGGGAGTTCGAGACCAGCCTGACCAACATGGAGAAACTCGGTCTCTACTAAAAATACAAAATTAGCCGGGCGTGGTGGTGCATGCCTGTAATCCCAACTACTCTGGAGGCTGAGGCAGGAGAATCGCTTGAAGCTGGGAGGCGGATGTTGCAGTGAGCCGAGATCGATCGTTCCATTGCACTCCAGCCTGGGCAACATGAGTGAAACTCCATCTCAAAAAAAAAAAAATTCATAGGTCCTGTGACACCAAATGAGAGGAGAGTATTTTCCCTTATACCAAGCAGGGAGATATTTCAGGAGATCTTGGATGCAATCTGTTGCAGAAAACTCCGTGTTTCCAAGCTGGTTTATCTGTCACCTTATCTAAGATTCCCCTCCCCTTCAATCCCCTTAACCTCTTAAGATTCTTGGTCACATTTTATCACATGCAGGGAGGATCTGGATAGGAGGAGACTGAGACTATGAACATGAATTTTTGGTTTAAGTTTGTGGTCCAAATACACTATAACAAACTCAGAGATCCACAGAAGGGCTGTGACTTCCTTGGGCAAAAATGTCTTCAATGACAGTGCTAAAACCAGACAAACAGGGACCTGATGGTGCTAAAACCAGACAAACAGAACCAAGATTGAAACTGACTTAAGGTGACAGTGGCCAGGGGTCAGAAAGACAAGGTCCCCACCCAAAATGGTGACCAGGAGGTTGGGAAGGACGCTCCGAGACAGCAGGTTTCTTTTATTAATAAAGAAGGCAAATAGTAATGACCAGCATTCTGAGCAATGGATGCAAAATACGTAATATGGCAGTGACCATCAGCAAATACTGAGAACTGGTGTCAAGCTCTCAGTGGAGCATTTACGTTTAGGAAAACAATTGTAACTTTCACAACAATCCTCTGATGTGGGCCTTATTATTCCCACTTAAAGATACGGAAACTAATGGCTGGGCGTGGTGGCTCATGGCTGTTATCCCAGCACTCTGGGAGGCCAAGGCAGGTGGATCACCTGAGGTCAGGAGTTCGAGACCAGACTGGCCAACGTGAGGAAACCCCATCTCTATTAAAAATACAAAAATTAGCCAGGCATGGTAGTGGGTGCCTGTAATCCCAGCTACTTGGGAGGCTGAGACAGGAGAATCGCTTGAACCCGAGAGGCGGAGGTTGCAGTGAGCCAAGACCACTCCAGCCTGGAGGGACAGAGCAAAACTCTGCCTCAAAAAAAAAAAAAAAAAGCTATGGAAACTGAGGTAGAAGTTAAGGTAAATAATATGCCTAAAGTCTCATACAGCCAGCATGCAAACCCAGGTCTGATCAGCTCTAAACACCACGCTCATCACCATTGCACCAAACTGCCTGCCAAGATGCCCACAAATCGAGAACACCCCCATCCAAGGAGTCACCCAATAATCAAATCAATCCCAAGGGAGGCCGATTTCTTCAACGCCTGTTTTTCTCTCCAGCACGAAATAATAATGGTTTGCTGCCCTATATATACAATGACTTCATGGAATCTGAGTTATTTGCCCTGCAGCAGGGATGTTCTATTTGAGTCACACACACTCTGTTCCCCAATCAATCTTGTTACCTATCCTATGCATGTGTAAGATGCCTGCATGGGATTTTTATTGTTTTGTATTTATTTTATTGTAACTCCTTATTGTTACTTTTTTCCCCATGTGAAGCCAAGTAACTACCATGGGCAGCAAACTCAGAATCTGGTATTCATCGGCACCATGAATGTCAGCATGAGGGAACTATAACCCTTTGTTTTCTTATCAAGTCCCTAAGCCTGGTTGTACAAGGACGCTAAAGGCTTAAAAGATCAGAGACCCAATCCTTGAGCTCAAGGATTCCACAATGTAGTGGGTGGCAACAAAATTCCAACCCAGTAGGGTAAGTGTTAAGGGGTCTAGAATAAGGATGAGGGTGGCGGGGGGTGGGGGGTGGCAGTGCGGGGGTGGCGGTGGGGGCACGGTGGCTCACGCCTGTAATCCCAGCACTTTGGGAGGCCAAGGCGGGCACATCACGAGGTCAGGAGATCGAGACCATCCTGGCTAACACAGTGAAACCCTGTCTCTACTACAGTACAAAAAATTAGCTGGGCGTGGTGGTGCATGCCTGTAATCCCAGCTACTCGGGAGGCTGAGGCAGGGGAATCGCTTGAACCCAGGAGGTGGAGATTGCAGTGAGCTGAGATTGAGCCACTGCACTCCAGCCTGGGTGACAGAGCAAGACTCCACCTCAAAAAAAAAAAGAATAGAATAGAATGGGGATATATCTCAATAGAGCTGTCAAACAGAAAGAAAAGGGAGTAAGGGTAAAGAAGAGGATGGGGGAGGAGGGTTACTTCGAGGAACAGGAACAGCATGCACAGGGTACAGAAGCAAAAAAAAGCAAAGCTGTACCCAAGAATCAGGTAGTTCCATGTGGTTCTGATAACATCATGCACGTGAATAAATAGCTAAAATGCAGCTCAGGAGATAGACAGGGGTTGGGTCATGAAGGGCTTGTAAACAAGGCTAAGGCATGGTATATTGTAAAGGCAATGAAGAACCTATGAAAAATGTTAAACAGCAGAGTTCCGTGATCAAACTGGCTACAAAAATCACTGCACCATCACTCTGGAGGATATGAGATAGGAATTTGGCAGGACTTGTTTTACAAGATACAGGTCACAAAGACCCCGTTGATCAAACAGGATCCAGTAAAGGAGCCGGCCAAAACCCACCAAAACCAAGATGGCAGCCAGAGGCTACCGCTGGTCATCCTCACTGCTCATTATAGGGTAATTATAACACATTGGCATGCTAAATGACACTCCCACCAGCGCCAGGACAGTTTACAAATGCCATGGCAATGACTGGAAGTTACCCTATATGGTCTGAAAGGGGAAGGAACCCTCAGTTCCCAGAGCTCCCTACCCCTTTCCCAGAAATCTCATGAATAATCTCCCCCTTGTTTAGCATATAATCAAGAAATAACAGTAAGTATAGTCAGTCAAGCAGCCCATACTGCTACCTAAGCGGTAGCCATCCTTTTATTCCCTTACTTTTGGTGTGTGTGACGGAGTTTCACTTTTGTCACCCAGGCTGGAGTGCAATGGCACGATCTCGACTCACTGCAACCTCCACCTCCTGGGTTCAAGCGATTCTCCTGCCTCAGCCTCCCGAGTAGCTGGGATTACAGGCGCCCACCACCACGCTCGGCTAATTTTTGCATATTTAGTAGAGATGGGGTTTCACCATGTTGGCCAGGCTGATCTTGAACTCCTGACCTCAGGTGATCCACACACCTCGGCCTCCCAAACTGCTGGGATTACAGGCATGAGGCACCGCACCCGGCCTTATTCCCTTACTTTTTAATAAATTTGCTTTTACTTTGTCAGCTAACTCTTGAATTATTTCCTGTGTGAAGCCAAGAACCCATGTGGCCTCCCAGGCTCAGCCCCAATTTTGGGGTTCACCCTGTGACAGATGGACATCACTAGGGGGATAAAATGGACAGCCACTCCTGTTAGGGCACACGGCAGAAATCCAGACTAAGTCTCCGACAGCAAGGACCTGAGAGTTCCATCTAGGGGCTGCAGGAGACACCGGCTTTGTGGTACCGCCACCATCTGCAGTGTACAGCCCTACAACACGGGCCCAGGATTAGATTCTGAGCTCCACAGCAACACTTTAAAAAGAGATTTTCCATCCAGCCCCTTGAAACAAACCTTTCCTTTGCCCCAGCAACAGGCAAAAAGACAAAAACGAATGCTTGAGTCCTTCAGCAGTCTCCTGAGTTTCACCTCTCCCAATAAATAGCCTTTTCCTCATTACAAAAAGAGTTTTGTGTGGGAGTGCCCAGGCAGCCGGAGGCCCATCAAACCCAGGTAAGAAGCCATTAAGACTAATTAGCCCAGCCTGAGGAGCAGCAACCATTATGTAGCAGTTTCAAATAAACTAGCAATGGCCAGACGCTGCAGCTTCCCTTGCTTTCACTTGTAGGACCTACGCCCCGAAAACCCTCAGGAAAATGCTATACCATCTTGTATGCAACTCCCCAAGTGTTATCCCAATACCAGCAACATCCCATGGGAATATGCTGGAGATGCAGAATCTCAGGCCCCACCCCAGACCTACTGAATCCAAATCTGCATTTCATAAGACTCACAAGTGATTTGTGCCTCATCGATAATGCTGCACCAGACAGTCTTGCAGTACGACCTCAGAGAGGCCCTTGGAAAAGGGTCCCCCTACTTCCCCAACACCATCCGCCCTGTGTGCCCCAATGAAACTCCAGTTAACAGGCAGCTGTCAGCATCCAACTATGATCACCAGAGCATACAGGAAGGTAAACTGCACTTACAGAGTGTGTGTGTACAAAGTGCCAAAGCTCTTCTACCAGGCTCTCCTGATCCTCAGAGGAGCCCTGGGAGACTTAGAAAGATTCTGCAACTGGCTGGGCGCGGTGGCTCACGCCTGTAATCCCAGCACTTTGGGAGGCCGACACGGGCGGATCACGAGGTCAGGAGATCGAGACCATCCTGGCTAACACGGTGAAACCCCGTCTCTACTAAACAAAATACAAAAAATTAGCCGGGCGTGGTGGCGGGTGCCTGTAGTCCCAGCTACTTGGGAGGCTGAGGCAGGAGAATGGCGTGAACCCAGGAGGCGGAGCTTGCAGTGAGCTGAGATAGCGCCACTGCACTCCAGCCTGGGCGACAGAGCGAGACTCCGTCTCAGGAAAAAAAAAAAAAGATTCTGCAACTTGCCTGGGCTCTCACACAGGTAGCAGGGGCTGAGCTGGGATTTGTACGCAGACCTGCCACCCTCTTGCCAAGCACTCTGCTGCCCCCACCTCCCAGGGGTTTCTGGCCGACCCTTGAACGTTGTTGTCTAAGCTGTCCATACTGGGAGCAGCTGCAGGGCTCACATTCCAGTTCACAAACCAAACCACACAAAACAACCAGTTATCCCCTTGGAACTGATAAACTGTCTCAAGATGTAGAGACCATGTCCCCGTTGCATATGTTTTTCCTGACACTGTTGGCATCTGGCAAGACCATCCCTGGCTGCCTCTCCATCGTCCTGGTTCATACTGCAGTCCAGACCCTGCCCCCCAGCCTTTCCAGCGGCTGAATCCTGCACTTCCTCCTTAGCCAGGCTCCTGGCATTGGCCCCAGGAAAGCCTCCCTGAGGCCCACCTCCACCTCATGATCAAGGAAACTCCTCTGGTCAAACAGGAACACCAGCCACCATATCTCTGTCCTCGGATTAAATATACTCACAGAGGTCTAATTCCAAAACCTGTGTTCTTTCCATGACCCTGGGTAGCCTCATATAATCCACTTTTAAAGAGAAAGAATGAAAGTAAACTAAATCCAATCTAATTCCAGGATTTAACAAGTCTTGCAGACAAACTGAAAACCCCTAAGGGTATTCAAATGCCTTGCTACTCAAATTGTGGCCGGCAGACTGGAAGCAGTGGCATCACCTGGGAGCTGGCGGGAAATGCAGAATCCCAGTGTGGTGTAATATGAAATATATTTGGTCCTTGTCCCCAGGTCCTGCCACATAGCTCCTCAAACCCTTGGAATTTCCTGATAGGAATGTTGTTTGTTATTCATAATGAGCCCATTTGATCACACTTCAGTGGATGCTAATAAGGTGACTTAGGGTGGGGGCCCTCAGATAGCCCAGGTTGGAGCTGGTCACCAGGAACAAGTTATTAGAGGATTAGAGGGTTGGGATTTTTGAGCCCCACCTGCTGACCTCCAGGAAAAGGGGGGCCATGGGAGGCTGGAGACCAAGCTCTATAAAAACTCTTTTTTTTTTTTTTTTTGAGACGGAGTGTTGCTGTGTCTCACTCAGGCTGGAGTGCAGTGGTGTGATCTAGGCTCACTGCAACCTCCACCTCCCAGGTTCAAGCAACTCTCCTGTCTCAGCCTCCTGAGTAGCTGAGACTACGGCGCGTGCCACCACACCAGGCTCATTTGTGTATTTTTAGTAGAGACGGGGTTTTGTATGTTGGCCAGGCTGTTCTTGAACTCCTGACCTCAGGTGATCTACCTTCCTCGGCCTCCCAAAGTGCTGAGATTACAGGCATGAGCCACCCTGCCCAGCCTATAAAAACTCTTGAACAAGATTTGATAAGCTTCTGGGTTGCTGAACACATGGAGGTGCTAGGAGAGTCCAGAGAGGGCATGGAAGCTGCACACCCCTACCCCCATATGCCCTGGCATTGAACAGGCAGCCCCCAGCATTCAACTATGATCACTAGAGCATGCAGAAATATGAATTCCACTTATGGAGTGTGTACAAGGTGCCAAGCTCTTCTCCCAGCTTCTCCTGGCCCTCAGAGCAATCCTGGGAAACTTAGAAAAATTCTTCAACTTGCAGAATGCACCCCTTCCTCTGGCTGTTCATCTGTATCCTTTATAGTAAACCAGTAAACGTGTTTCCCCAAGTTCTGTGAGCCATCCTAGGAAATTAATCAAACCCAAGCAGGGAGCAGTGGGAAACCCAATTTACAGCCGGTCAATCAGAAATATAAGTGACACTACTTGACATATGAAGTGGGGCACTCTTGTGGGACTGCGCTCTCAGCCTGTAGGATCTGACTCCAACACCAGGTAGACAATGTCACAACCCAATAGAAATATAAGAGGTTCAGCTGGTGTCCACTGAAGAACCCGCCTGGTGTGTGGGAAAACACTCGCCACCCCCAATCAAGTCACAGAAGTGTCTGGTGCTGTGTGAGTGTGGAGAAACAGGATGGAGTGTGAGCAGAGAGTTTGGTTTTTTCTTTCAGATTCAGGTTTCCACTTCAGACTACTAAATCAGTCTGCATTTTTTTTTTTTTTTTTTTTTTTGGAGACGGAGTCTCGCTCTGACACCCAGGCTGGAGTGCAGTGGCGCATTCTCGGCTCACTGCAAGCTCCGCCTCCTGGTTCACGCCATTCTCCTGCCTCAGCCTCCAGAGTAGCTGGGACCACAGGTGCCCACCATGCCCAGCTAATTTTTTGTATTTTTTTTTTTAATAGAGACGGGGTTTCACTGCGTTAGCCAGGATGGTCTCGATCTCCTGATCTTGTGATCCGCCTGCCTCGGCCTCCCAAAGTGCTGGCATTCCAGGTGTGAGCTACCGCGCGTGGCCAGAGTCTGCATTTTAACAAGAGCCTCGAGTGATATGCACACCCATTCATGTTGGAGAAGCACAGATCTCACACCATGTATAGTGATATTGTACAGCTAGGCTCTGATGTCCCTACACCAGAAGCCAGGCCCCACGTATTCAAAGGCTTTTTTTTTTTTTTTTGAGACCTAGTCTCACTCTGTTGCCTAGGCTGGAGTGCAGTGGTGCGATCTCGGTGGCTCACTGTAACCTCCACCTCCTGGGTTCAACGAATTCTCCTCCCTCAGCCTCCTGAGTAGCTGGGATTATAGGCATGTGCCACCAAGCCAGGCCAATTTTTTTGTATTTTTAGTAGGGACTGGGTTTCACCACATTGGCCAGGCTGGTCTCGAACTACTGACCTCAGATAATCCACCCACCTCAGCCTCCCAAAGTGCTGGGATTACAGGCGTGAGCCACCGTGCCCGGCCCAAAGCCTTCTTTATAATATGAAAATATTAGACTGGGTTGGGTACAGTGGCTCATGCCTATACTCCCAACACTTTGAGAGGCAGAGGCAGGAGGATCACTTGAACCCGGGAGGCAGAGGTTGCAGTGAGCCAGGACAGTGCCACTGCACTCCAGCCCGAGCGACAGAACAAGATTCTGTCTCCAAAAAAAAACAGAAACCACTTTGCTGTAGCAGCACTGAATTCAGTCTGAGAAGCACTGCTCTAGGTGCGATGATAAAATGCTGAAACTGAAACAGACAGGAACTGGGGTGTCCCCATGAGTGGTTACCCATGTGGTGGTCAACAGGGCCATCTACATAGATACAGCTTGCTCCTTTTCTCCTTCCAAACACACGGCAGGATTGTATTTTTTCACTGTCTTAAAGTTAGGTGTGGCTGTGCTTTAGACAATAAAATACCAGCAGAAGTGTCATGTGTCATTCCTGGGCAAAAGCTTTAAGAACCATGTGCTGTTTGACACAGTCCCTGAGCATTCCACACACTGGGCGTTCCATCATCCTGGGTCCTGGAGGTCTTGCGGCTTTGGACCAACTCACAATAGACTTACAACATGAGCAAAAAGCAAATCCATGTTGCTTTACCACTGAGATTGCTGTGGTGGCATAAAGTAACCCATCCTGACCCATATAGCACACACCCCCACAATGCTACCTTTTTCAGAATATTTCTGTTACTCCTCATTCACTGCTCAAATTCATCATTACTTTAAGGTAGGACCTCTTTTTTAGCCCTGAACGGCATTACTTAACTCAGTTACTCGCTTTGCTCATCAAACTTCACTCCGGAATCATCTGAGTTTTTCTTTTCCACAGATTTCCTCATGTGTTTATGCTTTTATCTTTTTGTACCGTATGCTTTTTGGTAAGCTGCCTTAAATCCTATTTGCCACAAGGTGACAGACAGACAGTCACATGAACAGACACACCAGACTTGGCTTTGAATGAATTTTGGCTGTTTCCAAAAAAAATCAAATCCACCCCTCAAAAGACAAAGATTTGCTGTTACTGAGGATATTTATAAGAATGCAGTCCCGGGCCAGCATGTATTCCTTCTACCTATTCTTCCCACAAAAGGATACTTACAGAATGTTTGGTACACACAGTTCCCACTTTTGAAAAGTAATTCTTTTCTGGACACACCATCTCTTTTTGCCTCACTGTGAGGAGAAATGTGAACTATGCTAGCTCCACAAAGACATTTAGCATCATTAACCAATATTTTTATTTTTTAAATTCAGTTTCATCCCAGCACTTTGGGAGGCCGAGGCAGGTGGATCATTTGAGGTCAGGAGTTCGAGACCTGCCTGGCCAACATGGTGAAACCCATCTCCACT